>NC_000008.11:34405557-34708587 GCF_000001405.40 Homo sapiens | reverse complement strand
AGGTTGAGGAAGGGAATTGGTCTCTGGGGAAGACAGATCCCATACCTTATGGTGTGGTTCACTGTGTTGTGCTGGGAGAATTTAAAAGTCCCAAGTGGAATCACTGGGCTATAGCATTGACTGAGGTGGAAGAAGTGGGCAGATTAAAGGAAGAAGTGACTGTGAGGAAATATATGTCATAGTTGGCACACATGCAAACAAAAAGATACATATTCAACATATTAAAATGGCTGTTCATGCTGAGGAGGCAAGAAGGAGTGGGGGAAGTGGATAAAAGGGATTAAGTAAAACAAGGGAGTGCTTGGTGGGAACAAGTGTGGTAATGGGTCGTGAACTAGAGTATAATTAAACTTATCTCTGACATAGTTTGGATCTGTTTCCCTGCCCAAATCTCATGCTGAATTGTAATACTCAGTGTTGGAGGTGGGGGGCCTGTTGGGAGGCAATTGGATAATGGGGGTAGATTTCTCATGAATGGTTTAGCGCCATCCCCTTGGTACTCTCCTTGTACTAGTGAGTGAATTTTCCTAATATCTGGCTATTTATAAGTGTGTGACACCTCAGGTTCTCTCTTGCTCCTGCTCTGGCCGTGTGACATGTTTGCTTCCCCTTCACCTTCCACCATTATTGTAAGTTTCCCGAGGACTACCCAGAAGACAAGCAGATGCCAGCATCATGCTTCCTGCAGAGCTTGCAGAACCATGAGCCAATTAAACCTTTTTAAAAAATAAATCATCCAGTCTCAGGTATTTCTTTATAGCAATGTGAGAATGGACTAATACAATCTCCTTCCTGTAAAACTAGAAAGAAAGGAAAGTAAAGAAAACCCAATAGATTGTGTCTTAGCAGCAAGCAAATGTGGTATAAACTCCCAAATGTGGAAGACCCTTTACCTATTGAATTAATGAATAACCACAAGACTGCATATTATGAAAGAAGATATGCTAGTTGTTTCTTTTCAATGCTGAAAATGAAATCAATATTGGTTTTGTTCATTTAAAATGAAGGATAAATTATGTGATAAAAGTAACATTTCTTATATTACAAATATTAAGAGTACTAAGGAAGACTAGGCAGGATTAATTGAGTCCGTAAAACTCAATAAAGATAAATTGTTTACTAATATGTTGCTAAAGGTGTTTAATTAATGCAAATCAAACCACAATGAGATGCTATCTCACCCCAGTCAGAATGGCTATTATTAAAAAGTCACAAAATAACAGACATTGGCTAGGCTGCAGAGAAAAGGGAACATTTATACACTGTTGGTGGGAATGTAAATTAGTTCAGCTATAGTGGAAGGCATTTTGGAGATTTCTTGATGAACTAAAAATAGAGTTACCATTTGATCAAGCAATCCCATTACTGGGTATATACCCCCCCACCTTCAAAAATAAATCATTCTACCAAAGACACCTGTATTTGCATGTTTGTCACAGCACAATTCACAATAGCAAAGACATGAGATCAATCTAGGTTCCCATTTACTGTGGATTGGATAAATAAAATGTGGCATTTTTACACCATGGATTACTACACAGCCACAAAAAAGAACTAAATCCTGTCCATTTCAGCAATATGAATGCAGATGGAAGACATTATCCTAAGCAAATTAACACTGAAACAGAAAATTAAATACTGCATGTTCTCACTAATAAGTGAGAGCTAAACATTGGGTACTCATGGACATAAATATGGGAACCAATAGACACTGAAGACAACAAAAGGGGGAAAAGAGAGAGGTAGGCAGGGGTTGAAAAACTACCAATGCCTCAGATAATGCATGAAAATTTTAATTTCCTAGAATTGCAGTGGAGCTGTGCAGCTGGTAGGTTCACCTTTGTACTTGGATTTATTAAAATTATTTCATGCATGCCTTTTCCTTCTTTTGATTAAAAAACTTTTAAGAGGTGGAAAATAACTAATCAAAAATAAAGAAAATGCTGGGTTTTTTTCATAACCCTCATTTTCTGGTGTCGTTAATTGAAAATAATTCCAATTGTGTTGACTGGCCTTTCTCTCCAGCAATTCTATCTGGTCAGTGGCAATTGTTGCTGGCATCTTGAGTTTATGTACAATAAAAGTCAACATAAAAGACAGAAAAGGATGCCTGTACCTCAAATTCAGGAAATTTGAGAGAACTCTGAGTAGCCAAGCCAGGATCTCATGTCCAGCTTTGTATCCATGGAGAGTGGGGTTTTTAGGCATGTTAGAAAAACCTGGAGTGTTGAGGGGTGAAAGCAAGTCTTCAAAAGAAGCCTCATGCACTGTAAGCAGAAGGTGAAATGTAAAACTGACGAGATTTTAAAAAAAATAATATTATAATTAAAAGTTCCTAATGCTTGCAAATACTTAACAAATATTAATTCTTGGGATTTTAGAAAAAGAAATCAAAATTCCAGGAATTGCTTAAAGATTATCTAAAACCATAAAGTATTTTATATTCTCTTAATATTTTATATATATATAGTTAAGTAATGATGAAAGATCATAATAATACAGAATGAACCCTTTTTCTTTGCTAAGAAGTTTTAGGGTTTTTTTCTGTAAAGCAATATTAATATGCGTATGATTTATTTTTGTTATAAATTAATAAATTTTGTCAAGATTATGAATTTCAATATCATGTATAATCTATACTTAGTATCAATATTTTATAATAGAGAATATTAAACAGAAATATAACCATGTCAAGTAAAATTATTTTAAAATTTGAAAGATAATCATGCCGCAAAAATTATCATTCTTAAAATAAAATTTTCAAAACATCTATTGTCCTATCTTGTAGTTTTTACATGAAAAAAATGTGAGACGTAGAAAACATCCTTTCAATTTGAAATGAAATTGATTAAATAATATTGAGTGTTTCTAAAAGCATTTTCATGTAGGGTCTTAGGATACAAGTTGTTTTATATGAGCTCCTTTTCTTTTTCATGATTAAACTATTTTGGCTGTTTGCCCTGATTTTGTTTTTTCCTTTGTTATCGATATTGTTGTTGCTCTTAACAGATTTTCAGTAAATCATGTTCACGTCTGCCCAATGCATTTCTTCTATTAATGTGTTTTTTAAAATCCTGTATCTTAGCAAATATTCAAAACTGTAAGATGGCAAGTGAGCATTTTTGGGTGGTATTCAGATAACACAACGTTAGTATTTCTTTGCAAGGATAAAAAGCACGACACATAATCATGTGTCAAATTGTAAATATAGGAACTTATTTTGCTTTCAAACTTAATTGCTGAAATGCCATTTTTAGGATGAGTATAAAGCATACTATGAGTATAAATGTATTAACATGTATTTTATTTGCAAGAATGAATAAGTCAATGTTAGCAGATAGGGCTACAATGCACACTTACATTATGCCACAGGCCACAGGCGAGATTGACTGACTACATTGTGATCACTTCTTGTCTACCTGCCTCTGTTCTGGTTTCTAGAAGTGCTAGCCATAACTGTCTACTCCACCTGCCAGCGTGTTTTGCTCTGCTTTCAATTTGACATGAGTGGATTCTTTCAAAGCTTTACATTTCTATGCTAATAGTTTAATTTTAATTCCCACAGGAGAATTATATTTTCTAATTTCTGATTTCTTAATTTATTTTTCTCAGAATTAGGATTAGGAAAAAATATATTTCCCAAAGAATATTGAGAAGATATCTCAGATATCTCTGTATGCATACTGTAAATTCTCCTGAATGACTTAAATACTTGGTCTCAAATAGAAAACTTGATTCTGGATCATGGAATCACTTTCTTGACATTACAGGAAGAGACTAAGTTCACACACACACACACACACACACACACACCAATAACTGGTTGTTCTCCCTCTTTTTTCCCATAACAACAAATTCCTATAATTCCAACTGCCATTGTTGAGGGCAGAGGTGCTATTTAGGGTAGCATAGTCTCAACAAGGAAAACTTATTCAATGCATGAATATCGTGGTCCTAATGATAAAATGAAGTATATATTTGACATTATTCCACATTCAAAATTATCTCTGCTTAAATAGTGTAAATGTGAAAATTGATCTTTAAAAGATATGGAAACAAAAATAGAACTAAGGGCAAATTTAAAATAGAATAAAATATTAGTACCTCATCTGTTTTCTCCTTTATTTTCATTTTTAATATTAGAGGATGGCAGATCCTAAATGCCTTGGCTGAAACAGTTCTTCTAACTTGTTATGATATTACTTTTTTTTTCTGGTAGTTGTTTAAATCAGTCCTTCCTCTAAGCATTAATTATCATTCTAGGGAAATTTTGCACTATACACCTATTATGAGTTTTATGTTTGAGTTTTTATCTGCCCTTCCAAATGACACTTGCTTTGTGATAATTTTCTCATATGCAAAAATTAAATATTTTTTTTAAAAAAATATGGAAGCCTTTTTCCTTTCCAAACACACATCTAAAGATCTACAATGCCAAATCAGGATATGGTTACCTGGGTAACTAAGATTCCATAGGGAAAGTAATACCTATCCTCTTGCTTCTATGTTCTTGATTTTTTTGCTTGATCAATAGTTAATTACTTTTTTATCTTTTCTGGAACACAGGCATTCCCAATAGCCCAAATGTTTTATAATTCTTATTCCATAGGTCAACCCATGTGTTTTCTTCGCATTGAGTTAAATTGGTGTATGGGACACAGGCTGAAGGCACCCAATGCTACAGCAGACTGAAAGGTTATATAATCAATCAACAGGTCATTGGAAAAGGTCAGTAATATTACCATTATTAAAAAGCAAATTTTCTTTTGGGATCAGAAATAAAGATCCTCAATGAAGAATGAATGAAGCTAAAGTTTGCTCTTGTAGTTTACACATTCCGGGAGGTGCCTGACCTTCAGAAATTGTACATTGCCTCAGATAATGCATGAAAATTTTAATTTCCTAGAATTGCAGTGGAGCTGTGCAGCTGGTAGGTTCACCTTTGTACTTGGATTTATTAAAACCCTATATTTCATGCATGCCTTTTTCTTCTTTTGATTAAAAAAATTTTAAGAGGTGGAAAATAACTACTCAAAAATAAAGAAAATGCTGGGTTTTTTTCATAACCCTCATTTTCTGGTGTCGTTAATTGAAAATAATTCCAAATAGCTAAAAAGGTGCCCTGTAATGTGGGTCCAGAGTCAACCAATGACTCATCTCTACCTTTCTGAGATAGAGAAATGTCGGAGACTGAGGACACGGCACTGAGAAAGTGAGGAGCATGTTTCTCCATTATTGTTCTTTGATGTTTGCTTCAATCATAAGTTGCAAGATTGTATATCAAGCTTTATACAGTGTAACTCTATTTTTATTTCCAACTACAACAGCTAACTTTAAATTAACTAGGAATACATAAGAATACTATAGAATGAAAGTCTGGAAGATCACTGTGGTCGTGCAGATTAGCATTGCATATGTAAAACTGGGAGTGGATCTTGTTCTATCCCACCAATTCTCAATAAACAGTTTAAGGAGATGGGGCAGAATGATTAGGGACAATTTTAGCACACGTTTTCAGTAACAAACAAGGTAAATTAATGGAAAGTGCTTTTGTAATCACACTAACAGTAAGAGAGAAATCAATTTTTCTGAGCCTACGTTTCTTCTTATACAAAATAACTTATTGAATTTATAAGTATTTCCTAAATGATAGAGTTTTATAAGGAGGAGTAAAGGACAGTGATTTTAGAAAAAGAAAGAAAAATGAAGTAAACCCTATGATTGTCTCAGCTTACTGACTTCATAGAGATGCCAGAATGTAGTACAGGAAAAGAAAACATAGGTAAAGCCTAGTTGATTCACTAAGTCGAGACATAGTTGAAAATTCAGTGAGACAAAAATGCTTATAGTTCACAGGACAAAGTACCAGGGAAGACAGAGCTACAGAAAGAGAAAACTCTGATGATCTACGTAAGGTCCCTGTTGGGTATGCCACAAAGTACTGATTAGCATATATGTCATATGCATTAGGAAAACACTCAGGGCCGGGGAAGAACCATCCCAAAGGGTTAGAGGGAATCAGTACTTGGTGTTCACATTGAGCAGTTAATAACATGTGTTTCCCAGCCAGACTGGAAAACATCAAAAATGTATGGGGCACTGGGTAGAACACTCAGAAAGATTCCGCTTTAGTATTGAGGGAAAAGGAGAAAACTAGTAATGCCTAGTGAATCAGTCTTGTAGGATCAAAGTCTTTCCAAGTAATTTAAAGCAAAGCTCAAGAATAGTTAAAGGAATGTAAAAGCTCCAGTATGCAAGAAGGTAAACTCCACAGAGTATGGCATCAATCAAAAATTATGGCACCATACAAACAAACAGGAAATTACAACCTACAACGAAGAGCAGAATTACCCCCATTAAAACTGATCCAGAACTCAGGTTGATGTTAGAAATAGTAGAAAATGGCATTAAAATAATTGGCAAAACTCTTCTCTGTATGTTCAAAGAATTAAGTGGAAGCACAGAAGATAGTTTAAAATGACCCAGTTTGAACTTGAGAGGTGAAAACTAAAATGTGTTAGTTGAAACGTTTTCTGAATGAGATCAATGGCTGATTAGACACTGTGGGGAAAAAAAAAAAAAAGATTAATGAGCCTGAAGACATAGCAATATAAACAGTTCAAAATGAAGTACAGAATAATTTTCTAAAATAACAAAAAATGAAAAAAGTATCAGTGACATCTGGGACAATTTCAAGCATTCAATACATGTATGATCGAAATCACTGTGGATTCCAAATAAAAATACAAAAATATCTGAGAAATAATTTCCCATTTTCCTCCCAATTTTATTGAAACTATAAGAAAATAGATTCAATAAGCTCAATGATACCCTAGCACAATATGAAAAAATCTATACCAATACACATTAACACATTAAATAATATTATTCAAGACTAGTGTGTTAGTCTGTTCTACATAGGTATAAAGGAATACATGAGACTGTAATTTTATTATTTTTTTCTTTTTTGCTCTGTTGCTGCAGTGCAGTGGCATGACCTGGGCCCATTGCAGCCTCCAACTCCCAAGTTCAAGCAATTCTTCTGCCTCCTGAGTAGATGGGACTACAGGCACTCACCACCATGCCCAGCTAATTTTGATATTTTTAGTAGTGATGGGGTTTCACCATGTTGGCCAGGCTGGTCTTGAACTCCTGACCTCAGGCAATCTTCCTGCTTCAACCTCCCAACGTGCTGGGATTACAGGCATGAGCCACCATTCCTGGCCTGAGCAATCTATAAAGAAAAGAGGTTTATGTGTCACATGGTTCTGCAGGCTGTACAAGGATGGTGCTAATATCTGCTCACCTCCTAGTGAGGCTTCAGGAAGCTTATAATCATGGTGGAAGGAAAAGTGAGAGCTGACACATTACATGGTGAGAGGGAGCAAAAGAGAGGGCAGGAGGTGCCAGGCTCTTTTAAACCAGATCTTATGTGAGCTCTTAGACTGAGAATTCATTCATTACTGTGAGGAAAGCACCAAGTCATTCATGAGGGATCCATCCCCCTGACCCAAACACCACAAACTAGGCCCACCTTCAACATTAGATGTCACATTTCAACATGAGATTTGGAGGAGACAGAACATGCAAACCATATCAACTCATTATAAAGAGAAAATCTTAAAAGCATGCAGAGATAAAATGACACATTGTTGATATATGTTCAAGATAAGAATGACAGAAAATCTCTCATCAGAATAAAAAGTTATAAGACAGGAGGGTAATATTTTTTAAAGTACTGGAAACAAAAAGAAAGAAGCAAACAAAAGCCTTTTATTAACTTATAATTTTATATCAAGAAAAGATATGAAAAAATTAAGTCAAAAGAAAGACTTTTTCACATATACAAAAGGTAAAATAATAATTCAGTCTCAGATGTGCACTACAAAAATTAGTAAAGAATACCTTTCAGGCAAAAAGAAAAATGAGACAATACAGTAATGCAGAACTACAAAAAGGAATTATATGCATTGGACTTGGTAACTACCTAGTTAAATACACATAATTTTATTTTTAAATATATTAAAATACAGCTGTTTAAAGATAAACAATGAAAACATAATGTGGAGTTTATAGTATAAAGTTTATGATATAAGTAAAAGTAAAATATTTGAAAACAATAGCACAAAGTCATGGAAGGGAGAAATAGAACTATATTTTTGTACATTTTTTATGCTATATCTGAATTGATGGAGTATTATTGAAAGATAGACTATAATGAGTTCAAATACTCATATTTATACTATATTTGAAAGCAACTATTAAAGTAATAAAACAAATAATTATAGGTAATAATCTAACAAAGGAGATAAATTGTATCATTAAAAACCCCTGGATTAATCCAAGATGAGGTAAGCAAAAAGGAAATAGAAAAAAAAAAAACAGATTTGTCAATAGAAACAAAGAGTAAGACGATAGAGTTCTGTATGAAAATATAAATAACCACATTAAACGTAAATAGTCTAAACATCCAAATTAAAACCTACGGATTGCCATATCTGTATAATGAATATATTTATCATGGATAAATAAGCAAGACCTAATTACATGCTGACTACAAGAAGCACTTAAAATATACGTACACAAATGCATTAAAGTAAAATGATAGAAAGTGATATGTTAACAACTAACTGAAGAAAATTGGGTGAGTATGCTAATATCAGACAAATATTTCAGAAGAAAGAATATTAACAAGGCTAAAGGAGTCAATTTCATAAAGATATAGAGTTAAGTCCATAAAGACACCACAACTATCCTAAAGACTATGCATTGATATGATTTCACTATTTTTGTCCTCTCCAGAATTCTTGTTGAGACTGAATCCTGAATTCAATAGTATTGGGAGACATGGCCTTTGGGAGGTTATTGAGCCAAGAATTAACCAATTGGATTAGGCACCCTTATATAAAAGGGCTTGACAGAGGTATTTTGCCACCTTTGCAGTTCTGCCTTCTGTCATGTGAGGATACTTATTTCTTCCCTCATAAGGATGTGGCACTTAAGGTGCCATATTAGAAAGTAAGACTAGACCCTCACCAGAAAACTAACCTGCTACTGCCTTGATCTTGTACTTTCCAGCATCCAACACTGTCAGAAATAAATTTCTATTGATTATCAATTACCCAGTCTGTGGTATCCTATTATAGCAGCATAAAATGAACTAACATGCACCTAATAACAGCTTCAAAATACATGGAAAAAAACCTAATAAAATTGCAAGGATAAATAAATCTACAGTTAATAATTGGAGATTTTAGTATCTCTCTATCTGTAATTGACAGAACTGTGGGCAGAAAGTCAGCAAATAATTAGATGACTTAAATAAAATATTCAATAACTTGACCTAATTACAATTTATGGAACTCGTCACCCAAAAACACCAGTCTGCATATTTATTTCAGGCACATGTGGAATATTTACTGTACCAGACCATATTCTGTGCCATCAGTCAAATCCAAATAAATTAGAAAAATTTTAAGCTATGAGAAGTATGCTAGTTCACTGTGATGAAGTTAAATTAGAAATCAATAACAGAAAGATCTCTTGAAACTCCCCCAAAATGTGAAAACAAAACAATATATTTCTAAATAATCTATGTGCCAATGAAGAAAAAAATAGAAATTAGAACATATTTGCTACTGGAGGAGAATGAAAATAAAATATATTAAAATTTGTGGAATGCCACTAAATCAGTAGTTGGGTGAAGTTTCTGTTATTAAATGACTCTATTAAAAAACAAGAAATCTTCCATTCAAGACACTAAAAAATGAAAGACGAATTAAATGTAAAGTAAGCAGAGAAATGAAACAATAGAGATCAAAATAAAAATCAATAAAATAGAAACACAATAGAGAAAATAAATTGAAAGTTAGATATTTGAGAAAATCCATAATACTGATAAACTTATAGCCTATCTGATAAGGACAAAAAGAGATAAGGTAATATTACCAATGTTAAGAATGAGAGAGCTGATAACACTCCCCATACACATTCTACAAATATTTAAAAAATAAGAGAATATTATGAAAAACTTTGTGACAATACATTCAACAATTTAGATGAAATGAATAAGATTCCTGAGAAATGCTAACTACCAAATCTCATTTAAATATGAATAAGTAATTCTAAGAGTCCTGTATCTATTAAATAAATTGAATTTGTAGTTGAAAATCTTCCCACAAAGGCCACTCCAAGCATTAGATGACTTTACTGGCATCTACCAAACATTACTGAATTCTACCAAACATTAAAGAAAGAAATAATACTAAATCTATAAAACTCTTCCTGGAAATGGAAGAGGGAGCCGATTTTACAAGTTATTTTATGTGGCCAGCATTATCGTGATATCAAAACAAGACAAAGACATTATAAGAACAGAAAACTAAATATCAACTTTTTGTGTTTGTTTGTTTTTTGAGACGGAGTCTCGCTCTGTCACCCAGGCTGTACTGCAGTGGCGTGATCTCGCCTCACTGCAACCACTGCCTCCTGGGTTCACACCATTCTCCTGCCTCAGCCTCTCAAGTAGCTGGGACTACAGGCACCTGCCACCACACATGGATAATTTTTTTGTATTTTTAGTAGAGACAGGGTTTCACCGTGTTAGCCAGGATGGTCTTGATCTCCTGACCTCGTGATCTGCCCACCTCAGCCTCCCAAAGTGCTGGGATTACAGGCGTGAGCCACCACGCCCAGCAATATCAATATTTTTATAAATGTGGATTAAATGCCCTAAACAAACAAACATACTATATATATACATATATATATGTATATATATAGCAATAGTTGGTAGAAAAGTGCCCCTCCCACCAAAGATGCCCATGTCTTAATTTCCAGAACCCGCGAATGTGTTATTTTATGTGGCAATAGGGATTTGCATATGTGATTAAATTAAGAGTATTCATATAGGGAGAATTGCCTGGGTTAGCCAGGTGAGTGACATTATAAGGGAGACAGGGAGTCAGGAGAACCAAAGTCAGACAAGGAAATGTGATTATAGAGTCATAGATGAGAAGAGAGAGAAAGAAAGAGAGAAAGAGAGAGACAGGTGAACTATGGGCTGGCTTCTTCAAGAGACAGAGGAAAGAATATGAGCCAAGGAATGCACACAGTCTCTAGGAGTTGGAAAAGGCAAGAAAGCCCCCAGAAGAAATGTAGCCCTACAAACACATCAATTTTAGGACTTCTGCCCTCCACAATAAAAATAATATGTTTGCACCACTGATTTTTTTTTTTGCTATTTGTTACAGCAGCAATAGGAAACTAATACAATGACTAAGTGAAGTTTACTCCAGAATGTAAGAGTTTAAAATTTCAAAATCATCCAACATAATGTGCCGTATTAACTAACTAAAAAAGTAAACTATCTGATCACCTTTGTAGATGTAGAGTAAGCTTTGACAAAGTCCAACATTTCTGCCTGATAAAAACTCTTAGTCAACAGGAATATAAGAAAGCGTTTCCAATCTGATAAAGAACATTCATAAAAGATTTACAGGGGACATTATATTTACTGATGAATATCCACCTAAGATCAGGAACAAGACAAGATAACCTCTTTCACAACTTCTATTCAATACTTTACTAGAAGTTCTAATCAGTGCAATAAATCAAGTAAAATAAATAAAAGCATCCAGGTTGGAAATAAAGATACAAAATTGTCTTTAGTCACAGATGACATGATTGACTGTGGAAAATTGGATGGGATTTATGAATAAAGCCACAAAGTTAAGTGAGTATAACACGTTTGCAATATACAAGATAAACATACAAAAATCAATTATATCACTATATGCTTACAGTAAGCAGTTAGCAACTGAAGTAAAAAAAAATCATACACAATGACATAAAATAGATGAAATGCTTGGGGATAAATGTCAGAACATATGTGCAAGACTCACACACCAAAACTGAAACTACCTTTGCCAAAATTATAAAGGTGAGAAAATTATGACAATTAAAGAGATCTGATCTAACCAACCCCCATCTTGCCTTTAGCCTCCAAATTGCCCTAGGTCGTTCTTGGGCTTGGGCCAAGCTAACTTTAGGAGAAAGTCAGTTTATAGTTTAAATGATAATAGCCCTTGCCAAAACTAAACCACCTTTGTAAAACTAATGAAAGAGCTCCAGGTTAGGAGGATGAGAGGAACCTGGATTATGCTAAGGTTTAGATATAAATGATTATCAGCCATTATTCCAGAGGTCACAAGATTTGGAACTTTCCCAGTAGTAACTGCAGATAACTTCACTATTGTAGAACTTAAGATTGGCCTTTTGAGATGTCTTTTCAGGCTTTTGCATTTCTGAAAACCAATGGCTCCACCCTCACGCTCCAACCAGTCCTGCGATCCCGTCCGGAAATGGACTCAGTGCAAGAGGACCATTTCCCACACCCCTATGATTGTAATGCCAACCAATCAGCAACACCCATTCCTCTAGGCCTGTGTCTGTCAAATTCTCCTTGAAAACCCTAGGCTCTGAATTCTTAAGGAGATTGATTTGAGTAATAACTCATCACTCACGTGATGTGGTCGCCCTCCTGCCAGCTGAACCCTTTCTTTATCACAATGCAGTGCTCTCAGTGAATTGGTTTTGTCTGTGCAGCGGGCAGGAAGAACTGTTCCAAAACTATTCCAAAGCATTGGTAAAATCGATTTTTAAAAGTGTAATAAAAATTCAAACCTACATCTTGTTCTCTTGGGTCAGAACAATCAATATTATTATGTCAATTCTCCCCAAATTGATCTACATATTTTTTGCAATTCCAATCAAAATCTTCGCAGAATTTTTAGTATAAAGACTGAGAATAATCAAAACTTTAAAAAGGAAAGCAAATTTGGAGAACTAACATTACATAATTTTGGTACTTATGATAAAGCTACAGTAATGAAAACAGCGTTGTATCAGTGCAGTGATAAATAGATGAACAAAATGAGCCCTATAGAGACAATTAAATATTGAGGAAGGCTCAAAGGCAATTCAGTGATGAAAGGACAGTATTTCAACAAGAGCTGCTGAAAAAATTGGATAACCATGTGCAAATCACTGAACTTTGAACCATAATTTCTATTATATTCAAATATTAGCTCAAGTTGAGTAAATATCTAATAGAAGTTCTAGGATATGAAAATTGAAGACATGCCAGTGAAGAGATAATATTTGAGAGCTCCTGATAATTGAAGATGTAACTCCTCACATTAAAAAAAATAGCAAAACAACAAAACCTCTAAGAATCAAAATGATTAAGTAAAAATAAATGCATCCTAAGATTCATAATTATGAAATATAGAACATCAGTAGAAAGAGAGAATATACCATAGAAAAAGATAGAGATAGAATAACTCAAATGAGTCGCGGATATATAGATGATATCTCCTAAGCAATGATACACTCCAGAAGAAAATAAAGTGATATTTTCAAAGTTCTAAAAGAAATTATTAGGAATCTAAAATTCTATATTGAACTGAACTATCTTTCAAGAGAGTCTGACATAAAAACATGTACAGATGTACAGATATACAAATTATAAAAAGTATTAAGAAATCATTTACACAAATCAAAAGAAAACTACTCATGGAAGTAAAGTGAGGAATTCAAAATGAGTAGTGGAAACAGAAATCAATACATACTTGATAAATTTAATCATCAGCTGTTAAATTAAAAACAAATTGATGTGTTTATTGTAAAAAATTGATGTGTTTATTGTAAAACACATCATGTGTTTATTGATGTCTTTATTGTAAAAACTGATGTGTTTATTGTAAAAATGGCAGAACCAGATCTCTAACAACATGAAAAAGACAAAGGGGGATTCTTGCACAACAGATAAATCATATTGAGTTTCTTATAACATTTAAAAGGAAAAAAGAAATTCTAAATAATTTAGGTAGAAATTTAAATTAAAAATTTAAACTGAAATTTTAAGGAAAGCGTTAAAAGCATGAAAACACCTATAGTTTTCTACAACAAAGATTTTGTTTGATTTTCAGGGAATATTAGGTTCAATTGCATGTGAGAAAAATCTGTATTACAGTGATTCATATAAAATATAGTTTGATTTTTTCTTGTCACGTAAAGCAGATTACAGGACAGTCACTGCAAGATTACTACAGTGACTCCATGATTATTTCATCTTTCTAGCACTAGACTTGTTCTTCAAGTTCACGTTCAAAGTCTAAGATGGCTAGTGTGCCAGGAATGATGGTTCATGACTGTAATCCCAACACTTTGGGAAGCTGAGGTGGGAGGATTGCTTGAGGCCAGAAGTTTGAGACCAGCTTGGTCAACATAGAAAGACTCCTGTCTGTATAAAAAACAAAACAAAGCAAAACAAAAAAACAGCTTGGTGGTATGCACCTGTGGTCTCAGCTGCTTAGGAGGCTGAGGAAAGAAGACTGCTCGAGCTCAGGAGCTCCAGGCTGTACTGAGTTGTGGTGGTGCCACTGCACTCTAGCCTGGGTGACAGAGCAAGACTCTGTCTCAAAAAAACAAAAATAAAAATAAAATAGCTGGTGGAGCTCTGAGTTTCAGGCTGGAAGAAGAAGAAAAGGAAATGGAAACAAAACAAAACAAACAAACAGAAATGTTCTTCTAGACAATTCAGCTCCATTTAAGATTACCCAGAAGCCTTTCACAACATTTCTGCTTACAACTCATTGCCCAGAATTAGTCAAATGGTCACATATGGTTGCAAAGGAGGTAAGCAAAGGAAATTCTATTTTGTGTGAGTAGCAGACCATGTAACTAAATATTGAAGAAACTGGAGTGGGTTTTATGAACCTCAGAACAAATCAAAGTCAGTTGCTTAGATAAGACTGATCTCTCAATTGAAATTCTTAGTATTATATCTAGGTATATATTCTTAATATGAATCAAAGTCAGAAGGCTATATGGAATGAGAAAGAAAGAGAAAGCTTTTTCCTTTTTGGATTAGGAAAAAATGCTTTAAATTACTGGATTCAATGATTCATAAATAGTAGACATTCCACTAATATTTGATGTTTGAATGAATAATTTCTTATATCACATATTCTTGCTAAGCACTGAGAATTTCATCAGTGCCAATCATGATAGACTTACACTACTGTGCAAACCCCTTCATCTGGGATCGTCTACCATGGTGGCAAGAGATTTGGATGATACAAAATGCTTTCCTATTAAATAAAGTTTTTCCATTTGAAACAATATAAGGAAAGCAAGTATACCTGATTTAATAAAATATTATGCTTCTCACTCTCTTCCTCTCCATCTCTTCTCGAAAGCCAAATTATATGCAAATTGAGCTTGATCAGTATTAATTCAGCTGCAACATGACATTTCCCTGATAAACTTGAACTGGAGTAGAGAATATAAGTCACAATATAAATTTTTTTTATTTAATAGGATCCTTTGTTCCTTGGTTTGCAAGTCTTCCTGACTTAGTAGTGGCAGCTAACACAATTCCCCAGACCTGACAGACAAGTCTTAGGAATTCAGTTTAGAAGAAATACAGTCTAGTGCGTATATCTTCCTTTTGACCAGAGGATTTCTGAGCAAGCCTCAGAGGGATTTGTTGTAATACACTTGTTCCTCTTGGGTAGATCAGTTGTATAAGAAAATATTCCAAAGGATAGCTGCAGTAAACACTTGAGAATACATTAGCAGCAAAGTAATAGAATACTATAAAATAATCAAGAATTTCTTAAATGCAAAATAAATAAAAACCCATGAAAATGTAAAACCTGTTGAATTACCGATTGGCAAGCCAAAGATTCAAGGAAAAACCTCTAAGATTGTTTATTAAACTTCACTTTAAAATTTCAAAGAATTTTTTAAAACATCAGTGTTTTTTTTTTTTTAACCCGTTCACCCTAGTATATACATCATGGTGTTGCAATAAAACAGGGATATTTTTGAAACATCACTAAACATCACAACAAGATATTCATCTATTTTAAGTAATTTTCTTTTGCTCATTTTACGTCTTTGACTCTGTAGTTTGTAAGGGAGCAATCAGCATTTGGAGTTAAGGGGTGTCTGTGTGTGCCAGGAATTAAGCTGCTATTTCTGTTTCAAATTCACTCTTCTATATTCTGCTTTGTAATTCTGGGGCCAGGACTCTGCCAACCACATTTCAGTTTTTGCATCTGCTCTCTTCAGGCCCTGCCAATAAGGAACACTAGAAAGAAATTCAAAAGCAGGAGGAGGGAAAATACACTCCTTCCCATTCATTACCTTTTCCTCTTTTTTTTGGCCTTCAATTTTTTCTAGTGTCATTTCAGCAATACTTCTTCCCTCCAGCAGCGGTAATTGTAGCAGCAATTAATTCTAGTATGCAGTTTTCCACAATACTTGTAGCACCAGCTTCATCTAGGCCCCTCACACAAGTCAGTAGCAGCCAGTTGAAAGTCCCTTCAGTAGGTCTATTGCCCATCACCATGTGGCTTTTCAATGAGCTAAGAGACACCGTCATTCACTGAGCAATGCCTACTCCTTCAAGTTCTGTGTTGTAGCTCCAGAAATCTTCTGCGAAATGTCTAATAATTTTAATAATCTTAATCTCTCCCCCTTTACTCTAGTACTCTAGTACTAAGGATTGTACCTGCTTCCTGTAGTTGATAATTGTGTGATAGCTTAGTGTACTTCTTTGAATTTTCACATTTTTAATAACTACTCAACTTTTTTTTTTTTTTTTTGAGACTGAGTCTCGCTCCATCACCTAGGCTGGAGTGCAGTGGCAAAAATCACTGCTCACTGCAACCTTCACTGCCAGGGCTCAAAGATCCCCCCACCTTAGCCTCTCAAATAACTGGAGCTACAGGCATGTGCCACCATCCTGGCTAATTTTTTTGCAGAAACAGGATCTCCCTATGTTGCCTAGGCTGGTCTCGAACTCCTGGGCTCAAGTGATTTGCTAGCCTCAGCCTCCCAAAGTGTTGGGATTACAGGCATGAGCCTCCATGCTCGCCCCAACAATTCTTTATTTTAAATTATCTCTGCTAAAATAATTGGTGTGGTTTGTTTGTTCTGACTGTACTCTAGTTAATATTTTTTTATCCTCAATCTTAGAATAATTGTGCTATTTATGAGAGTAAAATTTTATTTTTTAGAGATTAAATTTATATCTAAGACCAATTCAAATTTTAAAAGCATTTATTTGTTATCAAATAGATGTAAATGTACTGTGCTAGGCACTGCAAGACATTCAGATAATTATTAGTCACAATTTCACCTGCAAGTATTTAGGCAATTTTAATTAAAAAATGTAAATATGTATATAAGTGATATAATACATTATGTACTTTATGAATATTATGCAGAATGAACTTTGGAGAAGCTCAGAGGAAGAAAATCACGTCTTTGGAAACCAGAAGACACCTGAAGAGTTTTAACAGAGAATAAATGGTAGTAGCTGGGACTTAAAGCATATATTTATAAGAAAAACTAAGAGTATTATTGGTAGAGATTTCAAAAGATGGCATTGTAAGGGAGAAAAGAAAAAACAGGGCAGAATATCAAAAGAGTTGAAAGCATGCATGTGTGAATATTTGGTAGAAATAGAAGGTTCATAAAATGTAGAGATGAAATTTACAGGGAAGATTGGAGTAAGGTTACTCATTCAAGTAACCTTGAATGAGTATTTTAAAATCTGGCGTTTCCTTCTCTAGGTAAGAGAGAACCATTGAATTTCTGAAGATTGTGAATTTAGAAGTCTAATCTAAAACATGTTCAGAATTGACTTGGGTTGAAGAAGACTAAAGAATGCAAAAACATTTAGTAATACAGGTACAATAGCTAATTCCTTCTTTTCACACTGTGAGACTCACACCACAGGGGTTCTCAAAAATAATTAATTCAAAGACTTGTGTCTGAGCATCTGAAGGAATAAAAGTAACATTTATTGTTATGGAAATACAGAGGGAAGCAATGTGTACATGCTAGGGGAAACAAAAGTTCATTTTTAGACCTGAACAATTTAAGTTATTTATTTTACTTCCAAGTGGAATTGTTGAATAGGTGCTTGTACAAAAGAACATTGAGTTCAGAGAAGCAGGATGGACAGAAATATACACTTTTGAATCATCCTCAGGCAGATGGATACTTATGACCATCAGGCTGAGTGAGATCACTTATTAAATGAATGCAGACACAGAAATAAAGATTGATGAGAAGTGAACCCTGGGACACTCAAACATTTAGAGGTTGAGATGGAAAGGAAAGTTGTCCAATAAATCTGAGAATGACGTGCTTGCGAATTAGGAGACACAAGAGATGTTCCAGAAGCGAAGGTGTAGACATTTTTCAGGAAGCATAAATTGAACAACTACGTCAAATGACACAGACTAACCAAGATGTAAACTTTAAAATTGTTATAAATTTTTCAGTGCCTATATAACTTATGACTTTATTGATGCTGGTTTTGGGGGTGAAGTCAGGGGCCAAAACCTGATTAGAAGGTTTCAACTTATAATGAGAGAAAATAAATTAGATACAGAAGATGCAGAGAACTCTTGAGCAGTTTCACTGTAATGAGGAGTAGTAAAATGAAACAGTTAAATATGGTTTAAAGAGGAACATGTATGTTTAAATGTACAGTGGTATGTTGATGTGCTGATGAAAATTATCCAGTAGAGACGGACAGAAAAAAATGATGATGAACAAAAGAAAGAATATAACTGCAAAAAAAACTGGACCTTTATAATGTGTGAGTAGATTCAAGAAAGGGAAAGATGTTAGACCTAGATTAAAGCAAGAATAGTTTATACATTATAACATGATGGAAAACAAAATTTTTGGTACAGAAGAATGTATTTTGGCAGATTTCTTAGGAGGCATATGTAGAAGTTTTCTTCTACATGCTTCTATTTTCTCAGTAAAACAAAAATCATTGTGGGTACTTAGATTGAGGAAGAGGAGAGATTGTTGAACTTTAGAGAGAGATGAGATGCAGTCACTTCGGTGATTGAGAGAATGAACTGAATACAAAAAAGTATTTAATTACTTGGGAGCATTGAGATCACTCTTAAATTTTGTTGAAAATTAAATCAGCAGCAAGTATCATTTCTCTTGCAAAATTTTTCTCTGCTTCAAGTATAGGCTGAGAATAGATAGATTGAGCCATGACTAGAATTTTACCAGATGAACACCATGGTGGGAAGTGGAGTAACAATGGTGAGGGCACATGTAAGGGATAACAGAACATGGAAGCTAAGTGAAGAAAAAGGAAGACTGAGAGCATGAGAAGGGTAATAATCAGTTGAACACAAGAGGTGCTCATCCGTTATAGATGTCATCAGAGTCAATGCATCGCTGGATTGGGATAACACAGGGAGTAAAATGGAGAGATATGAGCTGGTGGTCAAGAAGAGGGATGTTTGACATTGAGCATTGTACAGTTATTGCTAACTGAAAAAGCATACAATTTGGGGCCAGGCCCGGTGGCTCATGCCTGTAATCCCAGCACTTTGGAAGGCTGAGGTGGGCAGATCACCTAAGGTCAGGAGTTCAAGACCAGTCTAGCCAATATGGAAATCCCCTGTCACCACAAAAATTACAAAAAAAAATTAGCTAGGCATGGTAGTGGGTGCCTGTAATCTCAGCTACTCAGAAGGCTGAGGCAGGAGAATCCCTTGAGCCCAGGGGGCAGAGGTTGCAGTGAGCCGAGATTGCAGCACTTTACTCCAGCCTGGGTGAAAGGGTGAGACTGTGTCTCAAAAAAAAAAAAAAAAAAAAAAAAGAAAGAAAGAAAGAAAAAGAACAAAAGCATACAATTTGGGAGTTGAAGAGTTGAAAGAGGGTGCGCGACAAGATCATGAAGAGAAAGGAATTCAAGACTGAGAGTCCAATATGTTGCTTGGTTTATCTGTGTGGATATCTAATTTTTATGTTAGAAATAATAATGAAGAGATGGTCGTAATCCAGGTGCTGATATCTTCAATGACTGAAGAAAAGTGATCAAGATAATGGTAGATTATTTTAAAAACAGAGATAATGGATGTGTGGTTTATATCATGGGCTTCAAATGCCATAAGAGGGAGAAAGGGAGGGAAAGTGGCTTGTAATTGGCAATATGGAGGTAGGTAGCCTGACATTACATTTTGGCCAGGGGTGCTTTTACATGGGCAAAAATAAATTGACTCCTCCAAGAACATAGCAGAAGCAGCAGTTTACTCAGGTGATAGCCATATTCACTTAAGGCAAGAGAATATAGAAGTCACTCAGGAAAAATTTCGAGTCAATGGGGCCTATTGAAAATATCTCACCAGAAAAACCAGATGGCACAATGGAATTTCCAAGGAGAAGGAGGGAGAGATTTCGACTTTATTAGGATAGATCCAGTCTAATGAACATGAGAATTTGATTGTGACTGAAGCAACTGAAGGAAGATGTGATAGGCAGAAGAATGGCCTCCCCAAAATATTTACCCTCTATCCCTTGGAACTTGTGAATGCTATACAGCATTGACAAAGGGATTTCATACTAAGGTTACAAACTGTAAGATAAACAGACTATCCTGGATTATCTGGGTGGATCCAGCCTCATCACATGAGTCTTTAGAAACCGAGAACTTGACCAGTCTGGGCAATATGGTGAGACCCTGTCTCTACTAAAATACAAAAAATTAGCCGGGCGTGGCGGCATGCGCCTGTTTTCCCAGCTACTCGAGAGGCTGAGGCAGGGGAATTGCTTGAATCCGGGAGGCGGAGGGTTGCAGTGAGCCGAGATCGCGTCACTGCACTCCAGCCTGGGTGACAGAGTGAGACTCCGTCTCAAAAAAACAGAACAAAACAAAAAACCCCTAAAACTTTCTGTGGCGGCAAGCATAACAGAAATGCAGAGGGAGAGGCGGGGTGGATGAGGTCAGAGAGATTTGACTTCTCATTCCATTGCTGGCTTTGAGTCTGGATGAAGTGGTTTATAAGCCAAGGAATATGAGTGGTTTCAGAACCTGAGAACAATGTCCCTCTGACAGACAAGGGAATCTCCCTGCTATGGCTGGGTGGAACACAATTCTGCCAACATTAATAAGCATGGAAGTGGATTATCCCCCTGAGTTCCACATAAGAATCCGGGCCAGCTGACACCTTGGATTACTCTTAAAATTAGTATCCTAAATGAAAGAGGCAAGACAAAAAAAAAAAACTAAGAAACAATAATTCTATAAAATCAAACTAGTCTATAGTGAAAGAAAGCAGATTAGTGGTTCTTTAAAAATCGAGGTGGAGGAAATGGTAGATTATAAAGGGTATAGGGGAACATTTAGGAGTGATGGAAATGTCTGTTATCTTGATTGTGGTTAACAATTTTATAAATAGACATATGTCAAATCTTACCAAATTATATATATTAAAGTATGAAGTTGGCTGTACAGCAGGTCCTCAAAAAAACATGTTGTTCAACGTTGTTTCCTTATAAGGTTGATGAAAAAAAGAGTTGATTCTTGTTCAGGGCCACCACCTGTGTGGAGTTTGCACCTTCTCTTGTCTGCGTGGGTTTTCTCCAGGTACTCAGATTTCTTCACACATTCCAAAGCTGTGTGCATGAGGTGAATGGGCACATCTACATGTCCCAGTCTGAGTGAGTGTGTGGGTGTGTGTGGATGCATCCTATGATGAGAAGGCATCCTGTCCCCAGCCGGTTCCCACCTGGTTCCCTGAACTGCCAATATAGGCTCAGGCTAACTGCCACCCTGAACTGGAATAAGTGAGTTGGAAAATGAATAAATGAATGAATACAAATGATTGTCAAATACAAATTCATCAAGTCTATGGTAATCATAAAAATGTGTGACAATAAACAATGCATCAGGAAAGCGCTCAGCAAGCCCACCCTATTTGTGATTGCTTTTAACTGTGGTGGTAGGAGTTGCTTCTGATGATCCGTGATTGCAAACATTTATTCCTCCATTTAACCCACTACACTACAACCGCCCTCACTCACTAGTTCATAAAAAATTGAGCAAATCATTGTCTTATTCATTTTGATTCATCTGTCTTAAATATAGGTATAGCCCATATTTCTTTCAACATTTAATATTAGGAGGGTTTGGAGTTTTATTCTATGTTGTTTGGCTGAAATCCACAGTTTCCAAGAAACTATGGGCAATGTTTAGTGAGAATGTAACTATTCTTCAAGTGGAACTCCATGAATTGGTTAAAATAAAACAAATAATCCAAGTCAATGCTGCTTTATCCCCTATCCACAGCAAATAAGAAAAATATACACAGACTTTTAGCGACATGACAAGGTCAGATTGATGGAGACAGTACTTCAAATATTTTCTAGGTATTCAGAAACTGTAGAAGAGTTGTGGCACTGCCATGGTGACCTGAGTCAGGGGGCTACATGCAGTGTAGCAATCATGACACTTAGCACAAATAATAGTCCTAACCACTCCAGTTCATGCTTTCAGCCAAAGAGAAAAATTCCTCTTGATGCACTTTATTAAAAGATCAATATTAACATTCTTAAAAGAAATTATCATATTAAGTAAGCAGTCAAGACAGGTGAAACTTTGTTCATATAAAGTGAATTTAGTCTGAGACCTCAGGGTGCTTCTCTTTCATTTGAAGAACATACAAGGAGAAATGAGATTCAAGTGAAAGTAAAGATGTTAAGAGATGCCAACAGTTAAAAAAAAAAAAAAAAGAGAGAGATTGAAGGTGAGCATCATAAAACATTGCTAATAAAGAGAATTGTAGATTATATATGAATTTTATATTTTTATAATGGGTCCTAATATCTGATTCATGTCATGAAATAAAAAATGTTTTAATCTCTAGTCATTTCAAGTTAGAAATCCTAGCCTTAATTAGAATACAATTAAAAACATATTATCTATGAATTGTTCTTGAACATTTGTAGATTCTCAGAAGGGCAAGGGTTTGATTGGTATAAATATTTCTTAAAGATCCTTGATCATAAAAATCACCTGGGGTGTTTGTTTAATATCTAGATTCCCAGATTCCTTTCATGGGTATTATGGGAATAGCACTGGTACTGGTAATCCAGGATCAACTTCGCAGGTGATCTAGTGCTAAGCAAACTTCAGAGACACTGAACTAAGGCAAGAGAAGCTGACTTTGTTCCCAGGTTACTGTTAGGGTGAAATAACTCTAGGCATTTATGATAGTGAAAATGTACATTCTTGAAGTTCAGTGCCATTTGCCTCAGGTATCTAACAGAAAATTAAATTAAAAACCAGTAGTTTTAATAACTGAATAACAGAAAGAAAACTCGGCCAACTTTCTTTGTAGAATGCTATGATAGACAGACTATCACATTTAGAGTTATATATCTAAGTTAGAATCCAAATTCTGTAGATTGGTGTGTGAATTTGATGAGAAATTAAACTCACCAAACACAGAGTACTCACTTGTTTTATATTATAGGTATTATAAATTATATACATATGGACTATAGTATTTAACATATATAACATAAACATTGTATGTATTTTATATATACAATATATAGTATACCTATACAGATTTATATCTACCTAGAGTATGTATTATATATAATCATGTATTATACGTTATAAAATATATAAAATATGTTAAATACACATATACTATGTATTTTGTTATATATAATTATAATGATCTAATTATATAATAGGTAAAATATATTATATCTATTATTTTATGTGTAATATAATACATAATGTAATTATATTATGTATATTAATAAATAAATACATTATGCATTATACAATTATACATATACATTATATCATACATATCATATATTAACATATAATAATATATTATACCTATTATATAATAGATCAATATAATATTACATATAACATATAAAATGTATTTGATATATTGACATTATCAATATATCAAATCTGTACAATGCACACATATTATATTATATATTATAAATATTTATATTATAGCTATTATAAAAATATAGGTATTATATATTATAGGCATGCTTATTATAGGTATTATAGACATTTTGTATATAAAACATTGTATAATATATAACATATACATTATATACATATTATACATTAATTATAGGTATTATCTAATACATATAATACCTTTGTAGTCTAATTGTCATGAATGTAATCACCACATTGCATTACATGACATTGTGAAAATTCTTTTTATCAATGTTTTTATATAAGTTTAAAGTGATAGTACTCAGATCTTTTCAGTAAATTTTCTTTAAATCTGTTACTTAATGGTATTTTCTAAGAAGAATGTGGCTGAATATCTTCTGTGAGTCGGCTTCCACCTGTTTTATCTGTTCCTGCAATACTGCCCTCTTTCTTTCTTTGCTTGGACTGCAGCACTCCTATTGCACTAGATTTTTGAACACCCCTTTCTCCTAAAAGCTTTGCTTTTCTCTCTGTGTTTCCTCTATTCCTCTATCTGCCCTCTATTTTGGCCTTGTTTCTTGTTTGTTACTCTACTAAAATCCTTTAGCTTTAAAAATCATAATTGAAAAAAGAGAACTTTAGGGTCTGGTTAGACATATTTATTATTTTTGTTTCTTTTTTTTTTCTTTTTTTTTTTTGAGACCGAGTCTCCCTCTGTCACCCAAGTTGGAGTGCAGTGGCGCCATCTCGACTCACTGCAACCTCTGCCTCCCTAGTCACGTGATTCTCCGGCCTCAGCCTTCTGAGTAGCTAAGATTACAGGCATGCACCACCACGCCAGTCTAATTTTTTTTGTATTTTTAGTAGAGATGGGGTTTCACCATGTTGGCCAGGCTGGTCTCTAACTCTTGATCTCAAATTATCTGCCCGCCTCAGCCTCCCAAAGTGCTGGGATTACAGGTGTTAGCCACCGCACCCGGCCAGACAAGTTTATTTTTAATGAAGCTATTAATGCTAGTTTTCATGATCACAAGACCACAACGCAACTTCCATGGTAGATGGGACATCACATTTACAACAGAGTTCTTGTCCAGCACAGCTCCTGAGAAAAGAGAAAAGTTACCTCAAATAACACATTGCCAGCTGCCTTCTGTCACTGAGACCTCAGGCCTCAGCACCTAAGAGTTTTTTTTTTTTCTTTCTTTCAATTTGGAGATTTTACATTTGTCACTTTTAAGAGTTCATGACTTAACTCTGATTATTATTGACAGTCCACTCATCTCTAGTGGTTGCTCTGACAACGGGTGAAAAACAATGGATTAACAGCTTTCCAGGAACATCTCTCAGACATAATTAATTTCTGCCTTTGGTATTTATACCTCATATATCAGTGCCATACCTTCCTGCTAAATTTCTGTTCTATTTTCCAGGCTTGGAAAAAACCCTAGGTTCACCTCCGTATTTAAATACAACTAAATTATGTACTTTTTCCTGCAAACAAAGAAGTATTTTTCTGTTACCCTTTTACTCAAAAGGATTTTTTGAATGAGGAAAAAAAAAAACAAATCACAAGCACGATTTGGACTCAATAAATTATCATTCAGGTTCATTATCTCATTCTATATTGTAGGAAAGGCATTTCAATAAATCAAGGACTAACAATTTAAACAAGGGAGAAAACTAGAGTTCTCTCCTGTGAGAGTAATTCATAGATATAATTACTTTTGGTTCGATATCTGTATTCACCGTAAGTTTTCTGACTTCTGTAATAAATAACCCTAAAATCTCAGTGGTTTAATGAAATATATATATATATATATATATATATATATATATATATATATATCTCCTGACTCACTCCAACTCCAGTGAAGATGTGTGTGGTCAAGGGGATCTCTTGGGAAGCTCTTCTTTTAGTGGGAAATCTAGAGTCCAGGCTGCCTTCTTTTTTGTGTACTCTCAATCCTCCAGGGCCTTGGAAATCTCCTCTGCATTCTGTGCATGATTGGTTCGTGAGAAAAAAAATTAAAAATTTTAAAAAAGCTAAAGATTCTCAAGGATGATATTTGGTGTGGACTTCATGTGGCATCGTCAGCTTCTCCACGTTCCCCTGGTGCCATCAAGTTCATGGCCCTGAATGATGCAAGGAGTCTAGAGAACCTGTTCCCTTGTATACACACGGCATTCCAGGACATCATGTCAGTCACAATTGCATTTCAATTTTCAACTTTATCTACATGTCATTATTTCCCCAAGTGACCAAAACTGGTTTCTAGTTTTCTTGGTTGTATAGACTAGCTGAGGAAACTTTCTAGAACTTTCTGAGGCCCAATTCCCTTTAAGAAAGTGGAGATGAAATAACAGTCCTAAAGAAAGGTTGTGAGGATTAAATGTAGTGATGATTGGGTAGCACTTCAGATGAAAGAGCTATTAATATAATGGATTGTGATTAAGATGCAATACTAGTTCATCAATTTTATGGGGGAGGGAAAGTAGAAATCAAAGATTATATCAAGACTCATGAAGAATTAAATCACCTTCTGATAAAAATATGAGAGAAGAGATCCCCCAAACCTTCCTCTACAATGACTATAAATGACATGCATTATGAAAATCTAATCTATTTCCAACAGTCAGAAGGCAGCAGAAAGATGTTAGATTAAATTAGGAAAAGGAACTGATCTTCCATGCACTTCCTTTCATAATTTTATTATAGATTGGATTGAACACCCTCAACAGAGCAATGTACAAAAAAGAGATATTTCTGATTTTTAAAAATAATTGTCATCACTTTAGTTAATTCCCTACTCTTTCACAATCTAGGACAAAGAGTATGGGATAGAGGGAAGAAACAGTAGAAAGTAATCTTAGTGCTACCTATAATAATAGGCATTCATTAAGATAACTAGCTCATCCGGTGATTGGTGTTGCAATCCATTTTAATGACACCTAATTTGAGGGTAAATATTCAATCCTATTTATATCCTATTAGCCTTCATCACTGCCAGTTTTGGGAACTCAGAAGGAGCATCCAGCCCTGAGCCCCCGTTGGCAGATGGGTGTGTGACTTACTTTCCCTCCCCCTTTCTCCTCCTCCCCACATTCTACAGAAAACCCTGGTGGGAGGTGGAGTTACCATTCTACAAGGCTGATCACACTTGGTGATAGTGAGTTTGCTGCCCACCATCTCTTGGACATCACTCCTAATTTAGCTGCTTGAGCAGTTAGAAAGCCTAGAGAACTATCAAGAGCAGGTACAGCCTGCAGCCTTCTAGGTCCCCAGAATCATGGCAGACATTTTAAGCAGACCTTTCACTCTGCTAGACTCTGTGCTGGCAGCATCAGGCATACTTTCCTTAGATGCACTCATTTCTTTGTCTCAGCAGTCTCTGACTAGCATGCATGCTCCTATTGTCATCTACTCTTTGGAACTCAGTCCATAGCCCATAGAGTAGGCTTATCAGCCATGTAGATAAGGTCAAGGGGTAAATTTCTCTCATTTTCTTCTAGCAACATAACTTGCCTCAGTTGTGCAAGATACTTCTCCTGTCTTCTAGCATTGTTGATGTTGATGAGACTATGATGCTCAAGTAGCTAACCAGGAGGAAAATGTCTAGTTTTCTATCCCTTCATGAATGGAACTAACCAGAATATACTGAAGTAGAAAGAAACTTAAAACAGAAACACTGGCTAAGCAGATGTTTACATAGCCTATGCCAAAAAAAAAAAAAAAAAAAAAAAAAGGTAATTTGGATCAGGGACCCATCATTGAGAATAGAAGAATCCAAATGTGGGACTTACTTATTTGACTAAGATTTCTTGGGCACTTTGTGTTTACCAGTCCCTACTTGAGGTTCTAGAAATATGGCATTCAAAAGATGAACACTGACACAGAGCATATAGCCTAATAGCAGAAACAGGTTTATAAACATTTACTGTAGTATGTAATGCATACATAAATGCATAAATGCATAAAACTACAAGTACAGGGCTGATAAAAGAATACAATAGGAAACATAGGGCCAGGCGTAGTGGCTCATGCCTGTAATCCTAACACGTTGGTAGGCCAAGGCGCATGGATCACTTGAAGTCAGGAGTTTGAGATAAGCCTGGCCAACGTGGCGAAACCTCGTCTCTACTAAAAATACAAAAATTATCTGGGCACCTGTAGTCCCAGCTATTTGGGAGGCTGAGGCAGGAGAATCGCTTGAGACCAGGAGACGGAGGCTGCAGTGAGCCGAGATCGTGCCACTGCACTCCAGCCTGGGCGATAGAGCAAAAGATCGACTGAAAAAAAAAAAAAAGGTGGGGGTGGGGGAACATAGGATAGGTTAGGAACTGGGAATAAAAATAATGAAAATGATAATGATAATCACATATTAAATTACACCAGGCTTTGCACTAAACTCCTTATATTCATTTGTTTACTCCTCTTTTAACTTTAACATGTGTAGGCCGGGCGCAGTGGCTCACACCTGTAATCCCAGCACTTTGGGAGGCCAAGGCAGGCAGATCACGAGGTCAGGAGATCGAAACCATCCTGGCTAACATGGTGAAACCCCAACTCTACTAAAAAAAAAAACAAAAAAAAATTAACTTTAACATGTGTATGTATCACCTGAGAATCTTGTTTAAATGCAGATTCAGGTACAGCAAATACAGGGGTAGATCCATCATTCTGCATCTCCATAAGCTTCCAGCTGGTACGACTGGTACTGTTCTGGGGATCACTTATTGAGTAGGAAGGAACAGGCTCATTAACATTCATAACAATTCATTAATGTTGCTGTTCTTATTATCCCCATTTTGAACAGAAGGAAATTAAAGCAAAGAGATGTCAAAGCTGTGTTACAGGACACATAACTAGTAAGTGAAGGTGCAAACTGTGGAGCCAGTTAGTCTACCTCCCATCTTAACCTCTGCACTTCCTGGAGTGACAGTCATCTTAAACTTGGGTCTGAAGGAAGAGAAGGGTTGCCTGAATGTGAAAGGGTGTGAGGAGCTTGTGTGGGGAGGTGTGTAGGAGGCATAGGGTACAGGGATGAAGTGGTGGCTCCAAGGGGAGGAAACAATGTGTATGGAGGTTTAGAGAGAAAGAGGGGGCAACATCGAGAAACTGAAACATTTTCCAGAATGTTTAGGAAGCAGAATCAATAGGATATGAAATATGCAGGTAGGGTGGAGTGAGCAAGAGGTGGGCACAAAGCAAGATTCTTAAGGCTTCCATCTTGAGTGGCAGGATGGGGTAATAAAACCACCAATGAAGATGGAGACACTAAAGATGACTTAGGTTGGGAGTTGAGTAGAGAAAGCTGAGGACAGGACCACAGTTCTTGATGAAGAGGTGTGATAATCCAGGTTAATCACTCTTGGCTGATTACCAGGCAGCAGAACGGCACAGTTTGCGACTTCTGTAGCCTTGGAGATGCAATCAAAGATTATTTCTCAAGCCAGCAATGAAAGATTGGAGTACCCAGTTAGGGAAATGTTTTCCCCTCTGGACTCCCATTTATTTTTTGCTCACACTGAGCTACCATTCTGTCACTTGCTTAAGTTGTTACCAATGTTGCTGCATCCTGGAGAGGAAAAAGATACAGAGATGAAAGTTGAGGAGTGGAAAGAGAGAAGAACTTTTAAATTTCAATCAAGGAAATGATTCCAGTCTATCTTGAAAGCTCTGTCCCCTGGCTGCATTCTATAATGTCCTCACTTCCGGAATTAAATCACTATAAAATAGGGCTGGCCTCAACTATGCAAGCCACAAGGGCTCCTATGAATTCAGGCATCTGTTCACTTTATTTTTTTTTTCTTTTCCCTTGTAGAAACACAGTGCTAAACTGCCCAAATACTCACTCTTTCCTGTAACTAAAAATATGTGAAACTTGTATTCTTGTTTTATCCCCTTAGAAACAGATTTCTTCTTTTGTTTCATACTAAATCTTCAAATTTGTTCCATGTTTTAAATATAGAGGAAGGAAAATTCCACATGGTTTACTCAAATTGCAGAGCAAATAAAGTATAATTACTTAGCTATCCCAGCATTGAGTGAGAAGGTAGGGAATTAAATGCCTCCTGAACAGAAAGAAGATTATAGATGTGATAGTCAAACTTATTAAACTGGAGACTAAGGACACCTTAGAATGAGCTTCCCATCCACTCCTAATAAATAAAAAATACATATTTTAAATAATTGTCCAATCTACTTTGTCAGGAGTAACTGAGACACCTCTTCCCTGCCATTCACCACGTACACTTAGGGAGTAGAGAGCAATTGAGAGAGTTATTCAGACAGAATTATGCATTTAAAACTAATGATTTCCTGGAATATGTCAAAACATTTTTGATCTAAGTACCTGCTGCAAATCCAAGGTTTGGGAAGGCATGTCATCCATTAAAATAGCCTGAGCTTTGTCTTGTAGTAGAAATAGTTTGGTTAAAGTATATGCCCATGCAGTGATGATTAAAACATAAGTAATTCTATGTGTAAACATGCTTAAAATAAACAGGGAAAAGCTGGCCATTGCTAACAATAAAGGCAATACATCTGTAAATTTATTGCATAATTTTGTCCTAGTTACAACAATGTACAACCACCACGAGCGAGGCTGCTTTTCACAAACAAATTTATTACTTCTGGATGCTCTTCTATTGCTTTCAATAAGAAATGCCAAAATAACTGTGATTTAAAAATGCTATCAGCTGATTTGAATGCTCAATAGATTCAGTGCATTATAATAAAACTTACCTCTAAGTGTTGTACTTAGAAGAAAACACTGTGTAGACTTAAATCCTCCGCTTTGGCTGCACATTTCGGCGGATGTATTTACTACAGACAACTGGAAGTCAGTCTTTGGTTTCCTATCTGCATATTCATAAGGCTGTCAGACAGCTTGGAGAGAGTTTTTACTTAGTTATCCCACTTTAAATATTAGGACTTGCTAATGTTCAGTTTATGCAAATCTTGAGTTGAGTTCACATCATTCTTCTGATGTTGTAGGTCATAATTTCTCTGCAAGACGGCCCAGAGACCATACAACAGCTGGATCATGGGCCTCCGTACCAATACCCCCGGATTCAAACAGCCATTTAGAAGTTGGGGAGCAGGCTCTTTCCCAAGGAAGAGAAGTCAAAGCCGTAACCACGCCCCCATTTCTCTCAGAAAGCAGGCTCAGATTGTTAAAGCAGCTCCTTCCCTGCCCATGTACTCTTCAAATTGAGCTTTTGTAGTGCCAAAGCCGGCTTTGGCGTAATGTTTTTTAACTGTGGGGAAATTGTGTGTGTGCACGTGCACGTGTATGTGTGTGTGTGTATAGGAGCATCTCAGTTATCATAAAATTGTCATACTCCATCTTTGACAGTTGTACTCTTTCTAGCTGGAATCCATTACTCCAGTATTTGAAACCCTTTTATTTGGGAAAATAATAATCATATCTGGTTATTTCTAGTTTGCCAAAGAATTCCATGATGTTAGGATAGCAATTCAGGGTTTAGAACTGACAGGCTAATTTGGATCACAATTAGGGCTAATGGCAAAAATATCGATTACTCATATGAACTGGCATTTTCAGCTACCTATGTAATATGCAGTTTGGGGTATTGTCTGAGGCTACTGGTTTTAAATAATGAATGCTATCTTACCTTTCCTAAGACTCATATTTCATGTCCAGACTTCTGAAATTTCTCGCCAACCCTTCTGATGCCTACATTGTACAATGAGAATAATGTGTATTAGTTAAGTGGGAATTACGTGTGATGAAAACCATTGCTTGTCCAGCAATCATTCTTTTAAATTAATATCTATATTAACGTGATTATGATTTTCCTGAGTGCAAAATTGGTTCTTCAGAGATCAAAGCTACATGAGAAGGGTCTAGAAAAAAATAGACATTTGTTAGTTTGGAATTTTTAAGTGAAACTTTATACATAAGCAAGGAATTTGACAAGATGATCTCTGATTACCCTACAAATTCTGAGATTCCACTGGAATTACAACCAGTTAAAGGAGTGTGGATAAAAGGACTTTGGGAGCTAAATGTAATGGGCATGATTTTCATTTCATTCTGTGCGCCACAAACAATAACCCCTTTTTTTCTTAGTTATGAGTGGGCTAAATGTCCAATTGTGTGCACAATTTATATGGTAAAAATGTTCTTATTTACATAAAAAAATGTACTTTTCTTTAAAATTCCCTTCCATATCCACTTGGTGTTACTAGGCATAATTTAGTGGGTGATTGGCCGTAGAGTTTTTCACAGAGTTCAAGGTTTCTGGGGGCTAAGCTAGATCCATATACACAAAGGGTGGGAGAAAGGCAGCATAAACAGAGGTAGCATTTGACAAATCACTGAAGTAGGAGATAAAAATATAATGCTGGAAAAATAGTGCTTTGTATCAAGTACCATTTAGCAATAGCAGGTGATTAAAAGAAGATGAAGTCTAAGGTCAGAAATAAGAAAGGAGAGAAAAACAACAGAAAATGTGTTCTAAGATGTACTGGTCAAAGCTGATATTGGTATCATAAAAAGTAGGTTGAAGACTTAAATAATGTGACATCATGTATGAACTGGGTGAGAAGAGAGCTCAGAAACCCAGAACTCCTCAACAGTGAGGTCAAATAACATTTTTCAATAATTCCAAACACCATACTTTGACATAATTTCTACAAAAATCTTGATACATTAAGTATTTTCCATGAAAATAGTTCCAGTGTGTGAATCTTTGCCTATAGAGTGTATGTGGTCTCTCAATATCCAGTTGCATGATACCAAACTGGTATTATTCCCTTTTTGCCAAAAGCGTGTTGGTAGGTGACCAGATAGGATCTAAATAAAAGGTTATAGAACTCACTTACAGGCTACCTCAGTTCTTTCAACAAATATTTCAGGCAGTTATGAATTAAAGTTACTATCTTTGCTGCTTTAATAGAGATACAACAAAGGTGGACCCTGAGCAAGAAAAGGACATGAATGTTGTGAAAATATCAACGAACTCTGGATAATCATGAAGTACTAAAGTCCAGGGGCTACTGTAAAATGTTGCTTAATAACTTGAACATGAACAAAATAATACCTTCCTTAGATAGTTGGATTATATTATCTCCTGATAATGGTTCAGAGAAGAGATGAACAAGGTCACCTTGAAGAGACCTTGACCTGATCCTCAGGTATCTTATTGTGATACTATATATAGATATAACAAGATGGAGAATGTTATTGATCAGAACTTATCCTTGAGAATTCTCTATTAGAATTTCGCCTGAGAAAATCAGGCTGAGTGTGAGAAGAAACGCATTCCCAAGGCACTCTGTGAACTTTACTGTTGCAGATAGAGGGAGACTCAGACATGGTGGCTGCCAGTCCTTCCAACCCTCTAACAGCAACTTGGCACAGCTGATGAGAGGGACTATAAAAGTAAATAGCCACTCTCAGGGAGTGGGGATCCAGCAGGAGGCTAGGGAAGGAGGAAAGCACAGATTCCTTACAGGCAGGATATCTTGGGGTGTTTTGTGGAGAGATCTGAAAGTAATTACATAATGGGAGGCTCAAAGCACCTGTAGTTTGTGAGAGAATTGAAGTGCAGTTGAAGAGGAATTCCATTTGTGCATTCCTGCTGTGGGTTAAGAATTGGATCCTCATTAATGTTCACTGAAAGCTACAAGTAAAGGCTAGAATTGTTTTTTAATTACTCTTGCTAGACTGTGGTATCTGTAAAGCATTACCATGTAAGAAATGGTCCATATGGGATCTCTGTTTATTGTTGTGCTACATTTAAAAAAATAAGGAAGGTAATTCAACCCCAAAACCATGAACAATGAAGAAACACTTGGGAAATATTCACAGTGCTCATCTGAGCACTGTCTGGTGGGCTGGTCAGCCTAAGGACTCATCATCCTACCTGTATTATTGATACCAAGAGTCTTAGCTTGGTATCAGTAGAAATTTAAATGATCTAACTATTTTGTTCTTGTTCCATGCAATCTTCTCATTATACTCTAGGTTTATATTTTGTATACTCACAGGACAATAACACATTGGATGAAGAGCCCAAGTTTCCAGTCTCCTTAGCATTCATAATTTGTATTCCTCAATAATAAATGGATTTACTGATCTTGTACTTCAGTACTTGTGACCTTGGTTAATGTAAGTCTGCCTCTGATTGAACAATACATGTCTTGAGGTTTCTGAGTATATGACTTAGCAATTGACACTTAACCTTGGAACATTTAAAATTGGCCTTGTGAGGGCTTTTATGATACTGTCAGTCTCCCTAATTTCATTTTGGAAATCCTCTTCCTACTCAAACTCCCCTAGTGACCATGCCAGTCACACCTATTTGGGGAAGAAAATGCCCTCCCCCTCGCCCCCACACACACATATACACACACATACCTTAAAAGAAGTTTGCAAAACAAAATAAAGGAAGGGTAGATGAGAAAGATGGAAAGCAAAATGACTCATATCATCACAAAGAGAAATTGCATATGCTCATTGTCAACCCTGTCCTAACATGGTAAGTTTCCCCACTTCGGCATTATTCAAGCAGAACTGGATGGTTCTCTGGAAGTGATGCCACTTTAATTCTGTGAGACTTATTTTTATAATCTGTTTCCAACACTAAAATGAAAAGAGTGTATAACATTGTTTGCACAATGATTAATACGTAAGCACTCACTAAACACCTAAGTCATTACTGTGGTTGCTGTTATTTTGACATTGTATGAGAGAATCAAGTATAAGATTTACAGCCAAAATGGATAATGTGAATGTCCTTTCCATCTTTAATAATCTGTGATTCTATGAGAATAAATGAGTTTTTGATAATACTTAAATGAACTAATTTATAGACCTTAATAAATAACATAAGTATGTCGACAATTTGTCCCGCATTCCTAATACACCTCACCCAAATTCTTACGTGGCTTACACACTCCTACATGATCAATGCCGCTGCCAGCTTTCTAGCTACGTCTTCTGCCAGTCTCCTACTAACTCACTGTCTTCAAACATATTAGCTTCCTTGTCACATGCTTCTGATTCAGAGCCCGTGCATTTATTCCTCCCTTCCACATAAAGCTGGTCTTTCCTCAACCCCATCTATCTGCAGGGCGTGCTCCCTCTTGCAGGTTTAATTTTGGTTCAAATAGCTTCACAGCACTTTTCTAATTTTAAATAGCATATGTATTTTTTTACATAGCATATATTTGTCTATATCTGTTTCTCCTATTACAATATAATTTTTATGGGAACAGGAACTTTTTTGGTCACTGTCACATTCCTCTCACCTAGAACAATGCCTAGCACATAGTGGGCACTCAATAAATATCTGTTCATCTCCCGGCTGTTGCTTGTGGTGTCCACTCCATGCCCCTCCTTTCGGATGTCCTCAAACTATTTCTCTTACCATTTGTGTGTATCCTTATTATTTCCTTTAACTCGTAGGAGTGTGATATTCTGTGAGTTTTTGGCTCCAATTGAACCTTGTGCTGCTAATGCCTGAAACCATGTATTTTTCTGCTGAGTACCCTTTGCCAGGCATTATGTACTTTCACTGCATTATCTCATTTAAACCTCATTAACAACCCATTAGCTAGCAGCTCTGTTACTGTCGTGATTTTATCAATGAGGAAACAAGGTTAAATCACAAAATCACTATGAAACCAAAGATCATGTTTCAATTTTTAAGAATCATGCCTCTTGGAATTATTATCTTCTGTATTCCTAGCACAAAGTGTATTGCTGGCAAATAATAGTTGACAAACCAGTAAACTGAGTGAATGAGTAAACCAACCTTCAAAAATAATGTTTCTTACCTAAGTTGTGAAGTTACTGGGCAGAAATTTATCCTTCTTATTGGGAAGGATCAGGATTTGGTAAATAGAATGTTCCTAGGAGGGGGACATTAGGCCTCAGTAATAATGCAAGATCTAATTGTCTGAGTAAGGCCATTTAGAGTTTGCCTAGAAACAACTAAATTCATTGAAGTCACTGATGTGTTATCCTATAATTTCTTACATTCCTGTTGAGGTCAGAATTGGTTCTGGAGCCTTAAGAAAACAAAAACTAGAGTCAAACTGCATGAGTCCAAATCCTAGCTTAACCATTAATTGTGACTTTATGAAATTTCTTTAAATTACAGCATTGCCCTCTATTCACCGGGGATACATTCCAAGACCCTCAGTAGATGCCTGAAACCACAGATTGTAACACATTTCTGTTCATGTCTTCCACCCACAAATTTAATATCTTTTCCATCTTAACTAAGCACTTAATACACACTGTGGACAAAGGAATGATTTACATCCTTTGGATGGAACAGAACAGAGCAAGATATCACACTACTCACAATGGCTCACAATTTAAAACTTATGAATTGTTTATTTTTGGAATTTTCTATTGAATATTTCCAATATTCAGTTGAAAGCAAGTAACTGAAACCATGAAAAGCAAAATCATGGATAAAGGAAAACTACTGAACTTAATGTTTCTGTACAGACGGGTTTGTATCATGTGTGCTGCAAAAAAAAAAAAAAAATATTGCCTCTACCTCATATGGTCTTCGTGATGATTAAATATATTATTTTATGTGAAGAGCTTAACATACTGTTTGTTCATGTATGTATTGCAAAACTGATAGCAACAATTAGATTTATCATGCAGTTGAGGGTCAACTGGCCCTACCTATTGAAAGAGGCAAGTTTCTAATTCCTACAATATGCTGTCGTCTCTGAACCATAACTTAAAAATTATCACTCTAGTTCAACCTAGAAAATAAGTGGATTCTGTACACCCATTAAATAATCATGACTTTGATTATGCTAAAGTGCATCAAAATCTGGCAATTTTTTTTCAAAAGTTTGGAGTAATTATGGCAATAAGATTATTTTATAAATGTTCTAGAAAATTTTCTCCATCTTTGACTTTGCTTTGATTGTGGACACGAGGTCATAGGGTTCTGAGGTGAGTTCCCAAAATAACATAAACCTGCAACAGAGAAGTGCTTACAAAATGTAGTGAAAGCTGGGTCCTGAGGTTGCCAGGCAACAAGTCATGTACTTGGCATGGTAGTTAGTTTCCTGGAAACATTAGGAGAAGCAACTCAGACACGCTTGACTCTGCAGGTATGTACAGATCGTCCAGATCAGACGTTTAAGTCATTTCCTGACATTAGAGCAAAGTCTTATTGGAATCCTCTGAACACATAGCCTATCACTCATCATATGGATTTAGCCCCATCCCATTCAAAAGCAACAAGAGTTGGGTAGATTAAACAAAACATACAGTAAGAAAATAAATAATTGCTGCTAAAATGATTAACACCGCTTTTCTATGCTATTCTGTGTACCAGATCTTTCTTTTTTCCACTTCCTAAAATCAATTAATCAATTGATCATTCAGCAAGTCTCATAATTCTTCTATGACAGAAACATTTTAATTAGGTGTTTGGAAGTTGAAGGCTCGTATGCAATACGGTTTCTATAATCTAAAGATTTTACCATTCCTTCAGAGTATCTGATAAGAATTCTGGAGGCTTCTTTTGACTACTACGAAAATAAAAAGATTAGTGGTTTATGGGGGTGAGGGGAGGGATGACTAGGCAGAACACAGAGGAATTTTCGGGCAGTTAAACTATTCTGTATGATACTATAATGGTAAATACGTACCATTATACATTTGCCAACACCTGCAGTACAACACCAACAGTGAACTAAGGTGAGCTACGGACTTTGGGTGATAATGGTGATTTGTCAATGTAAGTTCATTGATTTTTAACAGATGTACCATTTCTAGTGGTGGATGCTGATAGTGGGAAAGTCTATGTGTGTGGTGGGGGAAGCAGGATGTTTAGGGGAACTCTGTAGCTAATGCATAATTTTGTTGTGAACATAAAATGCTCTAAGAGAGAAAGTGTATTTAAAATAAATAAATACATACTGATGTTAATATCTGTAGTTATGGAGAAAAGTAAAGCAGAAGAAAGAGAACCTAGAGTAAAATTGTTTTCTCAGGGAAGGTGGTCACAGGAAGTACCTGTGGATGCCTCATGAACAGAAACCTGAAAGAAATGAGTGAGCCATGTAGATATCTGAGGGAAGAACATTCCCCACAGAAGGAATGGCAAGTACAAGGACAACAAATAAATGGCAAGGAAAATATTAGTGCATTTCATTTGGGGTCATTAAGATACTAGTAGATACAGTAATGACAGATAATAAAATCAGTAAGAAAAAATAATCTCAAGACTTGGAATATTTTGAAAAGAACTGGTCATCCAATCAATCTTCTATTTATTTATTTTTACTGTCAAGTAGTGTTAGTCCGTCTGGCCTCCTATAACAAAAATATCCTAAACTGGGTGGATATAAACAGCAACCATTTATTTCTTACAGTTCTGTGGGCAAGGAAGTCCAAAATCAAGGCCCTGGCAGATCTGGTGTCTGGTGAGGAACAGATTCCTCATAGATTGGTGCCTTCTTGCTGTGTCTTCACATGGTGGCAGAAACAAGGCAGCTCTATGGGGGCTCTTTCATAACAGAACTCATTTCATTCATGAGGACAGAACTCTCCCAAAAGGCCTGCCTATGTATCACCTCCCCAAAGACCTACCTCCTAAGACTATCGTCTTGGTGATTCGGTTTTAGCATATGAACTTTTGGGGGATGCAGACATTCAGACGATAGTAGATAGTGTTGAAATCAGTTATTTATCTTAAAGTTATACCTACACATATTTACTTAGTGAATATTTATGCACCAACTGTTATGTACCAGTAACTGCCTTTCCCTGTACAAGCATTTATTGTGGACTTAAGTTATCAGGAAATTAAGCATTTATCCATCGACCAGACAATAAATGCTAGACCAGCAGCTGTCATTCTCTCATCTAGCATATACTGCATGGACTATTACAGTAGCTTCCTTCATGGTCTCATGGACTTAAGTCTAACCTGTGCTAATACAAACACTTGTGACCTACAGTAATTTTTTCTGGGGTAGAGATCTGTCCCATAATGCTAAGTTTAACACTAAAATAACTGTAATCCACCAAAATGAGTTAACTTTCTGAATGCATAATGGATTCTATGAAATAAAAATGTATTCTAATTATCCATTCATTGAAAATAAAGCAAGAGTTTGTGTAAAAGTTTAATACTATGCTAAATCATTGTGCATAATTTTATCTACGGGCCAACTTACTATTTTGGAGTGTGTGTTTGAAATGATGTTTACTACTGATTAAGTTTAAGATACTTTACATTTTCATATAGCTAGAGGTTAACTTTTAGAACAATAGTAAATCAAGATGACTTTATTTCTTGTAACAAGGAAAGATAAAGTCTATGACTTTATTGCAATCTAAGATATGAATCTGTCTACTTTTTTTGTTGCTTTTTTATTTTGTTTTTGTGATAGAGTCTCCCTCTGTTGCCCAGACTGGGATGTAGTGGTGGGATATTGGCTCACTGCAACCTCTGCCTCCTGGGTTCAAGTGATTCTCCTCCCTCAGCCTCTTGAGTAGTTGGAATTACAGGCACCCACCATCACACCAGGATAATTTTTGTATTTTTAGTAGAGATGGGGTTTCACCATGTTGGCCAGGCTGCTCTCGAACTTTAGACCTCAAGTGATCCACCCTCCTTGGGCTCCCAAAGGGCTGGGATTCCAGGGGTGAGCCACCATGCTTGGCCCAATCTACATTTTAAATTGAATATAAGAAGCTTACATTAGTATTCTTTTTTATTTCATTGATTATATAAAATCATTTACTTCATATATTTTTTGAATCACTTTTCTCAAATCACTGCTTCCCTCATTAATAAATTAAATAAAAATTTGACAAATGATCACTATTTATTTACATAAGAATTATGTTTCTAACATTTTGAGAATTAAATTTTGACACATGAGTGCTTTTATGATATCAGATTCACTTGCTAAGACCAGAATTAATAGTAGTTTTCTTATATAAAATTCTGAATATCATCTATGTGTGAATGTTCCACAGATATATTCAGAAACATCCACAATCACAATTGCAAACTCTTCTTTTGGGAGTTAGAAATGCTTTGAAAATCAGTTTTTCTTAATTTGAATTAAGATTTCTTAGTAAATGTGAATTCTAATAGGACTTTCAAAGACTTGGGTAAAGATTGAGTTAGAACATTTATGTAAAGGTAACATTTCTAAGTAATATCTTGACTGCTTTGTATGAGAGTTCACCAAAAGACTACCAGCAGTTGTACCTTTAGTTATAATGGAAGTAGAGGATAAAATATTTTTAATTACTGAAAGTGAAAGTGTAATGTGAAGCATTTGGAAATTGGTTAGCAAATTTGTATTCAAAGCCACTTGTAGAAATGGTGTCAGACAGATCCAAGTAAGAAAACCTACAAGTTTATTAAAAACACTATGCAGTTCCTTAAAAGAAGAGACCTTATCATTACCTACTGGAGCACAATTCTACTCACATTTTAAGGTGCTCAGTAAATTCTGAAGTTATTTATGGTGAATTGGCATCAACATAAATCAGGCATTTGGTAGTAGTAATTAAAAGAGAAAAATAAATCAGAAGACACTATAAATTATGCAAATAGCAAAACTGCACCAATAAACTAGATTCAGAACAGCATAGTGGTAAGTATGAACATTGGTGCAATACTGCCTGGGTTTACTATTATGTATGGGAGCTTGAGTAAATTATTTAACTTATCTGTGCCTAATTTTCCTCATCTGCAAAATAGGGCTAATTATTATTCTTATTGTATAGAGCTGTTATAAAGATTAAATTCTTTAATAAAAATAAAGGACTTTGGAGAATTCCTAGCACAATATATGTGCTACTTAAGTCTTAGCTACTGTTATCATTACAAGCATTAATTGCACACGGAAAATGAAAGAGAAGGAATTAAAGTAGCTTCAAGGACCTGAGAAGTTAGATAATGCCATTGCTTCTCATGATTAGAAAGTTAAGTGAAATGAAGATATGAAAGAGGCAAAGCTTCCCTGGGTCAGTGATGACAGGATCCTCCTAAGGAGTTATCCACTCAATTTTTACCCAATGAACCATTTTGAATTCATTTAATTCAAAATTTAACCCCAAAGAATATTAGAATAGAAAGGATTCTACAAACTATTTACTCTGAGCAATCCTAATCTTTGGTTTGTATCAGAATGACTAGGGGAAACTGTTTAAAACTACACATGCCTTGATAAAATCTATAAAAATCTATTAATTCAAAAATTATTGGAATACTTCCTTCAGATTATTCTGATGCACATAAAGTGTGAGAAACAATGAATCCAGCACAACTGCCTTATTTTACAGTTTGGAGAATTGAAGCCTAAAGACATTAAATGGCTTAGGCAAATTAAGAATTTTTTTTTTTTTTTTTCGAGACAAGATCTCACTCTGTCTCCCAGAATGGGATGATCTGCCTTGTGGACAGTTGCTGGAAAGATGTGATAATTCCATCAGTGATGTGATCATGGTTCACTGCAGCCTCGAGATCCTGAGCTCAAATAAGCCTCCCACCTCAGCCTCCCAAAGTGCTGTGTTTACAGGCATAAACCAATGCATCTGGCCAAATTTGCATTTTTAAGGATAACCTGGCCTCTTGTGTCCTGATAGGTGCCCAATTTCCATCACCATGGAAAATGTAGAGCACAAGGGAAGAGTTGCTCCTGCCTCTCACCCTGAGGTGCAGAGGGCTACTGCATCCATGAGGGTTCTGACTAAGCTCACATTATACCTTCTGATTCACCTGCATCTTGCAAGGAAGTGTCTGATCTGTTGCTTAGCAATGGCATTGTTCAGAAGTCATAGGATTCCAGCAAAGAAAAAAGTGGGAGGGGGGATGAATCACTAAATAAGCTCCCCACATCTCATTTTTGTGCTTCTTCCAATAGAATGTTACATTTTTAACCTTCTTACCAATGAAGAAAATACATGAGCTTGGCAAGGATGACAATGACATAATATCATCTTTTATTTGCTACGAATTGTTCCTTTTGTGAAACTGAGGATAGGAGAGATGACTGATGTGTCAGAATACACACTTTTTAAAAAAATTCTCACCATAAGAATAAGACATAGTCTAGAAAATTGCTGCATTTAAGAGCTATTTCTTGCCATTGCTTTAAATGTCCCCCCACCCTTTATTTTCACTGCATTTGAAATTTTCTCTGCAGGGAATTCTACTCTAGGCTCAAGAAGACATCTGGCAGCAGTGTGGAACGAGATCTGCCTTATGGACAGTTGCTAGAAAGATGTGATAATTCCATTTTCTGTTGAACAGCCGAGCGCATGTTGTTAAATGTCAAGTATTTCCACAAACAGCTGGAAAATTGAAGCTATGGAAAGTCTTGTTTATTACCCTACAGCTTCTTATCCTGTACAGGAAACATAACTTTGTTTGACCATGTGGTTCAGAATATTAATAGCAGCTCTATTCAGGATAGATTTATCTTCTCTTTTAACAATAAAAATGTCTATTTTTTCTTCCTCTGATTTTTCTTCCCACCAGTTCAACTCAGAAGTCATCTGAGGAGGATTTACCAAATCAACTTTCAGATTGAGAAAAAAGTTCTGCTACAGTTAACTAAAGCATACAATAAATTGTATGGTTGTATGAGGATTGATCGAGTTATGTAGCAAGACCATTAAATGTGAATAGAATCATTACAAAAACTAGAACTTAATCATTATTATGATAATGTGGGCACTTTCTAAAAACCATTAGTTGAAATTTTATGATTATTTGAGATATCAACTTATGCAGTCTTTCAGTTCCGTGTTAATGCTGTAATCTGACTATCAGTCTGTCATTCCTGAATATTGAAATTGAGGAAATGACTAAATTCCTTTCTATGGATATGCTACTTTACTTGGGGAAAATATTTTTAGAAAGCCAAGCATCATATTAGAAGGATCATAATCAAAGCTCTCATTTATAGATTATAATATTAAGGTCCAAAAAAGTTAAGTTAATTCAAGTTATAATATCAGAGTTGATATCAACACCAAGATCTCTTGTTCCCCTGTCAATATAATTCAATTAAACAAATATGTGGTGAATGAGTGAATCATTGAGCCAGGTGTTGTGCTAGGCACTAGGCCAAAATAAACAACAAGCAAAGGAAAAAGGCAATTAAGTTCAGTGAGCCGTAATTGATAAGCCAAGGGTAATGGCGGTGGGGGGGCAAGGATCAGGGAAGACATCTTGGAGTAAGTGTCAGCCAAAGTGAGACCTGAGTGTGAGTTACCATTTCTTTATTCCTACTTTATCTGTTCTTGTCTGAGACAATAAAAGAGTAAAAGTATGGGCTGGGTGCCGTGGCTCATGCCTGTAATCCCAGGGCTTTGGGAGGCCAAGGGAGGTGGATTGCTTGAGCCCAGAAGTTCAAGACCAGCCTGGATAACATAGGGACACCCTGTCTCTACCAATAATAATTTGTTTAAAGAATTAGCAGCATGTGGTGGTGCATGCCTGTAGTCCTAGCTACTTGGGAGACTGAGGCTGGAGGATCTTGTCAGTCCAGGAATTTGAGGCTGCACTGACATAGGATCACTCTACTGCACTCCAGCCTGGGAAACAGAGCAAGATCCTATCTCTCAACAAACAAACAGAAGAGTGAAATTATAGGGTGGAGAGAGAGAGAGAGAGATAGAGAGAGAGAGAAAAAAAAAGCAGTTCAAGGAAATCAATTTCATCATGGCTGGAATAGCTGAAACACACAATGGGAGGGTGGAGCTGTAAACAAGTCGTGTTGTTAAGGATTTAGATGTTATTCTAATAACCACTGGAAACTGCTGAAAAGTTTTTAGTGAAGCAGTTACAGTTGTTCCATCACATCACATAAAAATGTTGGACTCGCACTACAAAAGACGGCAGCAAAGTCAAGGGCAGCATACGAGTCACACCTAGAGTAAAAGGAATGATTTTAGGAATATTAAAGTCAGGCCCTCTGTCCCCAAACATATCTCTTGTCTACCTGTTCCTCTTCTCAAAGTCCTACACGACTCTCTTCATTTAGCATGATAAGTTTGATGTCTAGATTCTGTAGAAATGATAAAAGACCAAAAACAGTGTGTGAGCAAGCACTGCTGGAAAATTCAAGGAACATCTTTCCGCTCACTTATGATACTTGCCTTAGCATCCCTTCAGTTCAATGTTGTGAGCCCACACTTAACTAGTCTGCTAGTGTGTGGGATGATATTTAGACCCCCCAATCCACACACCTCTTTTTTTTCTGTTGCTCTAGTCACCACTTAGTCCAGTAAAATCAAATTATTGCTAGAATTCTCACCTGCCAGATGCTCTGCATGGTCGTGCCATGATTACTAATTTGCAAAGAGAGAGGGGAAGAAAAAACATTTCACATACTTAGGTGCCAAATAAAACAATCAACTTCAACTCACATTTTAGCTTAATCAGATAGTTGAAATGGATTTTATCAAGTTTTATTTTTTTCCTCTTCCATTAGAGCAAATGTTCATGCTGGTTCTTTGAATATTTTGTTGGCATAAGTAGGTGCAATATTTTCAAGGTCTTGATTTCTAATTCCATTTTTTCCTCTGGGGAAAATTTATTCTGCTCTATGTCTGGCCATACTCTGGGAAGCTATACACTCTGCTCCTAGTCTTCAATATTTAGTTCCAAAAACCTTCTAGCATGGAATCTGACACAGAAAGAGGACCTAGTAAATGCTAGCTAAAACTGAATGCTTTCCTGTTCTACTTCCAGAAAAAAAAATAGAGTTGTTGAAGACCTCTAAGCAGGTGTCCAGGGTGACTAATGCTAATCTCAAGTTAGGACAAGGCGGGCTGTCAATGCTAAGAGCTCTCGTTATTCATAAAATGGCAGGGATGTCAAGGAGTGCAGCACAATCGTGAAGCAACACAGACTTCATAATGATCGAATTTGTTTTATTTTTCTTGAGATATTGCACAAAAAGACAGCTTCCCACTGCCCATTTTAAGCTTGAATTTCCAATGAGCCAGCCCTGCGTTTCAGCCAATGGGCTGCTGATTGGTTTGGAAAGAAATTCTTTACGAAAAGTACAAAAAGAGAAAATAAACTTAAAATCTCTCCTCTGGGTATTTTGTGTTTTCTTTCTCCCAGAGATAATCAGGTGGAAATCCTAGCCAGGATTTAAAACCTGTGTTTTACTTGGAGATGCTAATCAATGGAATGCATTTGAGACTTTCTCTGATGATCAGTTATTCATGAGGGAGCAATCATCATGCTCTTTGTTAAAGGCAAAAAAAAAAAATTAAATAAAAAAATAAATCCTAACATCTAGTGGAGATGCTTACTGTTTGAGAAAGCAACACTTAATTGGAGTGAAAATTCAGGGCAGAAAATAAGCTTTTTTATTCCTTTCAAGACTAAGGGTTTTTGAGCTTTGAAATGTAGAATTTAAGAACTTATGTTTCAAGATTTTACTGTAAATTACTCAGTTACCAAGTATTTGACAGGTGTTCAGATTGGGGTTAGAATGAACTCTATAACAATTGTTAAAACATTTTAGAAAATGAAATATCTGTTAGCCTCAGATCTTTACATCAGCTTCTGGAATAAAGAGAACTGATTTTTACTTTACCCCTGAGAGTTAACATCAACCCAAAGACAAGATAAAGTCTGTTCAGAGACCAAGAAAATAGACTAAAATGTCTAACCTGAACTCAGGAATTCACTCCTTTGCCCTGGTCTTGACACCGGACAGGGGCAGATTTTCCATTTTACTTGGACTTCACTATACAAACTGACAGCTGTAAAGATGAAGTTTCCACGTATAAGTAACAAAACCACTATATGACACAATTGATTTCCAGACCCAAAGTTGTAAAAGGGCAAAAGCAAAAGTCAAGGGTGGTAGACTAAGACAAAACAGGAAACAGCGGCGTATATATATCATATGTTCTAGTTCAGCAGAAATATAAACACCCTTTCTTGGCATCTCTCAGATCTTTCTTTTCTTTTTCTTTTTTCTTTTTTTTTGATTGAGTTTTGCTCGTTGTGTCCAGGCTGGAGTGCAATGGTGCAATCTTGGCTCACTGCAACCTCTGCCTCCTGGGTTCAAGCAATTCGCCTGCCTCAGCCTCCCCTGAGTAACTAGGATTACAGGCGTGCACCACCATGCTAGGCAAATTTTTTTTGGTATTTTTAGTAGAGACAGGGTTTCACGATGTTTGTCAGGCTGGTCTTGAACTCCTGACCTCAGATGATCCACCCACCTTGGCCTCCCAAAGTGTTGGGATTACAGGCATGAGCCACTGCGCCCGGCCCAGATCTCCTTTCTTAACGTTCACCCCTTGCTCACTGCACCCCAACACACAGGTCTTGCTGTTCCTCCAGTATGTAGTCAAGCCTTTGCTTCTGCCAGGAGTACTCTCCCACTGAACCCGCTACTTAACTTTCCATCAATACACTCCCCAATTCCACAATTCCTACTTTTTTATTTTTAAAAGTTTCCATAACACTTAGCATCATGTAACTACAGAATTAGCTCCTTCACTGTGATTACTGTCTAATTTCTGCCTCACCTTTGTTAAAATATAAGTTATATGATGGAGAAGGTCTCTCTTGTCTTGTTCATGAATATATTCCATGAATGCCTAGAACAGTGGATGGGTCATAGTAGGTACTCAGTAAAATGTTGTGAGTACATGAATGGATAAACGGACAATAAAACAGTCTAAAAAGCTTGGCAGAATAAAGTGTGTGAGAGTGAAGCAAAAATCATTTTCATAGGTTTGTTCTAAAAACTCTTCTTTAAACTATTTTTTGCTAATGAAATTCTCTAGGATCAGTTTGAAAATTAATATTACTCTTTTCATCATATACATTAGCCAAGAGTCAGCTATTACACTGATCTAAAATTGTTAAGAGCATGGACTTTGTACTAGGACAGACCCACACTTGAAATTTAGCTCTGTCATTTGCTAGCAGTGATTGCAGTTGAGTTACTTAATCTTGTAAGATACAATTTCTTGCTAACATGGGGATAAGAAAACCCACTTCAAAAGGACATTCTGAGCATTAATGATAATGTTTGTAAAGTGCCTAACACAGTGCTAGGTGGAAACTCCATAAATATATTTTTATTAGATTATATTTAAACACCTCCATGTCCTGGCATTTGTTAAAGCCATGAATACATAACGCTGTGTAACTGAATCAAATCAGAAATGATGCAGAGTGATTTGGAAAATATTCAGAGTGTACAGCTGGAATATATATCATTAGGAGTGAATTATGACATCTTACTGGGCCTCAGTTTCTCTTTAATAGAATCTCAGTTAGCATTGGTGCTTTCAATATCACGTATAAAATGTTACATTTAACAACTGGAAAAAGAGACCCCATAGCTTCTGATAAGATGAATGACTTCAAACTTGTAAGTACTTTTGGAGAAAAATGAGCAAGGTAGTATTGATCTACGTGCCTTTGTAAGCATGTGTGAGCATGGACATACACACACACACACACACACACACACATAAACATACCTGTAGAAAACTCTTTCTAATTTGGTCCAAACTAATTCAGAATTCAAGAATCAACTGTATATATATATATGGCAAGGATCCAAAATTTGGAAAGTCATTCCTAGAGAAGTAAAGACTACCAGTATAAAAAAGACAGGGTCACTTACTTTAAGGAATGTGTATGTCTGAAACTTCCTGTAGACAAAAGGAAACACATGTGAAAATACATACATAAAATGTTCACATTGCAAGTGATTATTTATAAACGGCAGGCCCTGAGAAGGCTTTATAAGGAGTTAACATATGAATTAAAGCTTGGCTGAAGGAGGAATCTTGGTATAGGTGGAGGAGTATCTTGGTAAGTTGATTAATTGTAGGATAAGGGTAATTCTAGGATATGTACAAAGTTAGGGCTGAAAGTACCTGTCCGGTCCAGGAATGTTAGTGATCAGCTGTGAATAGAGCACAAGTGTGAAAGGACATTCTGGGGACAATTAAGTTAGAAGGATTGATTGGGACAATCACATGGGAGACTTTAAACACTAGGTAAAGAGCTTGAACTTGATTGTCCAAGTTTCCAGGTTTTAACTATTTGGGGAGGAAAAATAACAATATGAACTGATTTATTCAGATGATAACTCTGATGACTGTGAAGGATGGTCTGGGGAAACACTTATAATTTGAGAGACAAAGAATGGCAATCTAATAAACTCTTCAGAAAGGGCAGACACAGCAGGAATGGAAAGAGGAGACTGATATAAGAGGCATTGAGAAGGAGGAGGCTGTGAGCTGCTTTGCCACTGCTAACTATTCCCCTCATACTGTGGCTTCTGTAACACCCTTGCTTGGTTTTCCATCTTCATCTTCATTTTCTTTTTCTCAGTCTTTCCCATGAGCTCTTTCCTGTATCTCCTCCTTAACTGTATTACTGCTTAACTATGTTACTGCTGAGGGTCTGCCTGTGGCCATTTTCTTGGGTGGCTTCATGTTAACTTGTGGTCTTCAGGCTGGCATCAGTGTATGTGACACATACATTTTCATCTTGCAGCCAAAGTTAAATCTGAGCTCAACTGTATATTTAACTATTCACTAAGCATTCTCTTACAAAGATGTTTAACTTCAATCTACTATCTTCCCTTGAAAACTTGCTGTCACCTCTTATAGTCCATATTTCAGTGTTAGTTGCATTATATATTTAACTACTGAAATGATTTTTGGAAATCAGTCTTTATCCCCTTTCTCATTTACTCTCCATATCCAGTAGATCATCAGTACTTAATAATAATGGTATCTTTTAAACATTACAGAAATATGACTTTCACTTAATTCATATTGTCATTCTTTAAGTTCTATTTTCCTCTTATTCCATAAGTTAAGGTGGAGTTCCAAGGGAGAAAATCCCGGGTCTGCCTGGAAGTGGCATTCTATGAGTAAGTTCGAGGATGCATTGCAAAGATGGATAAGCCAATAAAACTTAGAAGGAATAGGGAGCATAACTGAAAAAGGCAAAAGAATACATTAAAATAAAAAAAAGCATTGACTTAACAAAACAATGAAAAGCACCCGATTTGGTGGCTGTAAAACTGTAGAGAGCAAAGCAAAATGGAATGTATTGATCAGATCAAGAAATTCAGGAACTAGTCTATAAATAAAAGGCACGTTCTTGAAAAGCAAACTGATTATCAGGTTAATAGTTGATATGTTTTGGCTGTTTCCCCAGCCGAATCTCATCTTGAACCCACATTTTGTGGGAGGGACCCTGTAGGAGGTAATTGAATGATGAGGGCAGGTTTTTCGCATGCTCTTCTCTTGATAGCGAATAAGTCTCACGAGATCTGATGGTTTTATAAGTGGAATTCCCCTAAACAAGCTCTCTCTCTTTGCCTGCTGCCATCCACGTAATGAATGGTTTGCTCCTTCTTGCCTTCCGCCATGATTATGAGGCCTACACCGCCACGTGGAACTGTAAGTCCATTAAAACCTCTTTTCCTTCCCAGTCTCGGGTATGTCTTTATCAGCAACATGAAAACGAACTAATACAATAGTCTTCCCACCACAAATCTCGTCTTTCTCAATGCGTCTTGTACAAGATTGTTGGAATGGCCTTTCTAAAGGATGATTGTGATCACATCAGTTCCTTAAGATCCCAAGAGCAATTTTGTACCTCCTAACTTTTCTTTAAATTTATTTAAATTTCTTTAAATTTATTATTTTTAATCATTACAGATTCATAATAGTTGCACGTATTTGGGGGTACGTGTGATATTTTGATAAAAGTGTACAATGTGTAATGATCCAATCAGGGTAATTGGGTATCCATTACCTCAAGCACTTATCATTTCTTTATTTCCAAAAGTTCAATGATGTGCTTAACCTGCATAGTGCATACAGAGTATCTTCAACATTATTAAAACAGGTTATACTCTCTTATGTTGTGCTATGGTGTTGTACTGTGCTATATTATGTTATATTGTATTATATTATATGAACTTTCCAATATAGAAAAGAAAATTTGGAAAGTATAGGAGTCTTTTTTATAGGAATTTTATTTTAATTTCAGTAGTTATTGGGATACATGTAATTTTTGGTTACATGGATGGAGACTTCTTTAGTGGTAATTTCTGAGATTTTGGTGCCCCCATCACCCAAGTAGTGCACACTTTTATGTGTGCCTTTTATCCCTCACCTCCTTCCTGTCTTCTTCCACTCTGAGACCCTAAAGTCCATTACATCATTCTTATGCCTTTGCATCCTCGAAGCTTAGCTCCCATTTATAAGTGAGAAGATAACAATATTTGATTTTCCATTCTTGAGTTACTTCACTTAGAATAATGGCCTCCAGCTCCAAGTTGCTGAAAAGACATCATTTCAATTCTTTTTTATGGCTGAGTAGTATTCCATGGTGTATATAGATCACATTCTCTTTATCCACTCACATGTTGATGGGCGCTTCGGTTGGGAACTTTACAATTCTTAACATGGGATGTGTTTCTTCATGATTTGATCCCTGCTTATCTCTCCTTTCTCATTTCCTCATTAGATACCACTTCACACCCAGAAACTTTAATCTTTTAAAATTCAACTATCAACACAGTTTAACTAAACATACTATTCTCTCCCACTTCATAATTGTTTTCACATGCTATTTACTCTGCCTATAATGCCGCCTTTGAGCTAATCCATTAAATTCCTATACGATATATCTTAAACATCTCTTCTTGGCAAATTTTCTTCTACCACACACTCAACCCACCAACTCTCTTTTGCACTACTATGATATGTTCCTTTATTATAGTACTTAACCTGCATGGTGCACAGACGGTTTCTCCAACAATATTACATGTTCTGTTTTGTTATGTTTTGCTGTGGTATTGTATTGTGTTATATTATGTTATATCATATGATATTTCCTGAGGGCAAGAGATACTTTCATATTTGCCACAGTGCCATGAACAATATAGACAATCAATATATATTAGTTGAAGGTATGAATGAATAATTGAATAACTAAGGAATTGATTGAATATAAAAAGAAGATTTAAAAGCTGGGGTCAAACGCTCTTGAGATTTATAGCCTGAATTATTAGGAATTAACTGACCCCAAATATGCTCAAATCTAATCCATTATCCACGTATTCACTGTTTGTACCTATTCAGCTGAAGATGCTTGGAGAAAAACATGTATCATGTGGATTAGATTTATTTCAATTTTATTACATTGAATCTCAAGTGGTCCTTCAGTCAGTGCTGCCCAACAATTCTACCACATTCCCCTAATCAAGTCACTTGCCAACACTCCCAGATTGCTATTTCATGTCTTCTGCCTCATCTCAAATTTTAATACATCTTCTTATCCTCTGCTGTTGCTGACACTTTCTATTTCACTGAGGAAATACACATCCAGAAGAAAAAGTTCATATTCCATACCTCTTCCCGACACCTTTTATTTTTCTCTTCTTTCCATACTACTTATAAGTTCTAATATACCACATAATGTAATTCTGTTTTCTTATTTATTTTTATGTATTTATTTTGTTAATTTTAAATTTTTATCCATTTTGATTAGATTTGATTTATTTTGTGTTGGCTTTCCCTGTCCTCCCCTCCACCCCACTAGAATGCAAGCCCTATAAAGGCGAGGCTGTTTCTATGTCTTATTCACTTCTGCACCCCAAGCTCTTGGAATAGTGCCTGAAATGTGCCAAAAAAATCAGTACACATTTATAGATTGAAATAATTAACTCTCCCACCAATAAATCTGCCAACCTCTCTGTAACTGTACCAATGCATTGTATTGCCCATTCTATTTCAATATGAACTATTCTTTTTTCCTTAAGACTTGGATATAGGGTCACCATGATAACCATATAATTTGTTTTTTGTACAATAGTGCCTGGCTGAGGGGGCAAGTGGAAGCTAAAGGTCACCTTCCTAAAGGAAAGGGTTTCTTTTCTGAATAATTGCTGTGGGAAATAGTAACAGCTCTAATAAATGTTAAGTCTTTTACTTAGTAACTTTTATGCAAAATGTTTTAGCAACTCCTATCTTATAAAAATAACCATCCTTGATTATACATCCTCTTCTTATTATTGCCTCATCTTTCTACTGCCCTTTATAGCAAAACTTTCTGAAAGCACATTTATAGCAGTAGAGATAAACCAAGTTATGCCAGGGCAAAAAGCAACTTCCAAGTATCTGTGGCTTAGCACAACAGTAATTTACTTTTAATTCACCTAAAATTTGCTGTAGGTCCAGGAAACAACAAAATGCAGCTCCCAATGTTGATGAAACAAGCAAAAATATTTTGATCTATTATACCTTTATATAAACTTATGCTTCCACTTTGATCTAGGAAGGAGAGGAATAGGCTGAAGTTCAAGAATCAGCATTTAGTGATGCCTGTTACTTTGACAGTAGCTCATGGGCCAAAACAAGCTACGAGGCTATGCCTAAGTCCGAGGGGACAAGAAATTGCAATTTTCCTTTGTGCCCAGAAGGGTAGAGAATCAGATATTGATTAACTATCTACAGCTATATTCATTGTCTTTAGTTTCTCTCCTCTCCTTCTATTTTGAACTTACTCTAATTAGTCTTTAATCTTCACAAAAGCACTGAATCTTTTGTCAGTGTCACCATCGTGGCAATTTTTAAAAACAGCTTTCATGAGGTATAATTGACGGAAGTAAATAATACATATTTAAAGTACACGATTTGATGTATGTTAATATAAGTGTGTATGTTATGTATATATATACATTTATTACATGGTGTGTGTGTGTGTGTGTATATATATATATCTTCATATATGTATCAAGGTTTTCTTTCATACAGCATGCTTTTGCTGTTGGTGTTGTACCTAAAAAAATTTTGCTTAATCCAAATTCACAAATATTTATTCCTTTGTTTTCTTCTAGAAAGTTTATACTTTTAGGTTTCATCTTTAGAACTAAAATTCCTTTTGCATTTTACTTGTGATCATTTCTATTCTTATGTCTTCAAGTTCACTAATATTTTGGTCTGCAAATGTCTAATCTGTCATTAATTATATCCAGCATATTTTTTCTTTGAGACTTTGTAGTTTGATCCTTTTACATCTTGGTTTTAAACTTTGTAAGGTAGAATCAAAAAACAATTTTGTCTAGGGCTGAAAATTCCTCCTTACTGAGGCAAGAGCCCTCTGAATACTCTTACTGCATGCCTGTGAGTTATGTGTTTTTAAGATCTGGTTGGTGGGAACGGAGACTATTCTGTATTCTGTTCCTGTATGAGCCCTGAAGATTGTTCCTTCTAATTTTTTTCGTGTGGTTCTTTCCCTACTCTGTAGTAGCTCCTCATAGTCATTCCCCAACTCATACTCTACAAGATAATTTCCGCAGGTGTCTCCCAAATTGCTGCTATTTCATGTGTCCAAGAAATTCACAATTTTTGGGTTTCTTTGAGGTTCTCCTCCTCTATATCAAATTTGACATGGTGTCTGTCACTGTAGATGCTATGCAAGGAACACTTGTGCCGTGTTTAATCAATCCTAGGTAAAATTGCTGCTCAGAGAGTCAACCTGCCAAGGAAGGATTTTTTTTTTATCTCACAGCAAATATATCTACTAAGGAAAGTGTTTCCCACATGTTGCAGAAAGAGGCAGAGATATTGCTCAGTGTCATATTTCCCAACTCAAACCCGTGGCTGTCCTTCTTGGTGGATATATCTCTTCTCTTTGTGCGTGGTTGGTTCCATAACTCACACCTAGTCATACCTGCAGCTTCTCTTTTATACTTCTGCCAACAATTAGGGCTACCTTATCCTACCACTCTGCAATGACAATCCTATCCCCAAATGGACTATTCTATGTTTTTGTTGGAAAGATGATGCTTTTACTGTACTTAAACCAAACCATTTGTTGAATGCTACCGGACTTCGAGGGAATGTAATGCCCTTATTCCCCACCAGTGTTTGGAGTAATTAAAATATGGGTGCAACAGTTAAAAACAGTCTTAGAATAGATTAAACTGATTGGAAAATATGTTTTTTATGAATGGTCACAACATACTTTCTAGTATTTCACCTCAATATACCTCCTAATATTTCATAAACTTAATCTCCTATTTTTTTAGAGAGAGGATCTTGCTCGGTCTCCAGGCTGGAGTGCAGTTGTGGGACCGTAGCTCACTGGCTGCAGCCTCAAACTTCTAGGCTCAATCCTTTTGAGTAGCTAGGACTATAGGCACATGCCACTATGCTCAGTTGATTTTTTAAATTTTTGTTTTAGAGGCAGGGTCTCAATATGTTGCCCAGCTCCTAGCCTCAATCTTGCAATTTTTAACTGAGTCCCATCTCATGAGGGAGAGAACAAACCAGAATTCACTCTTTCTCCATAGGTAATAAAATTCACAAAAGATACCCAGAAGAAGCTTAGTCATACCTGTCAGTCATCTAAAATTGCCCCCAAAAGGAATTCTCTCTTTTCTGGTGAAAGACAGAGGGGTAAGGTCTGCCAACAGGGCAGGTATGTTACTTATGTGGAATTCACTCCACATGGGGACATTAATCAGGAGCATGGAGATTTCTTTTCTAACAATTGAGAGCATGAGACAGTCAGAAAGAGAGAATCATCTCGAATATTGTTCTATAGTTCTTTTTAATTCAGAAAAAAAAATTGTGAACACATCTCCTAATGTTTTACCTACTGTGTACCTTATACAATTTTACAATTTAATAGAGCTTTAAAAATGGTGAGATAAACATGAAATAAATACCATTTAGCTTTCAATTTTATAGTATTTATGTTGTTTCAATTTTATGTTTTTATATTACTGAAAATATATATTCATATTTTTATAATATGAAAATGCTTAACTACAACGTGATGTATTCAAATATCTAATTTTAAAGTTTGATTCAAGATTGGTTTTTAAATAACTTCATTGAGATGTGATTCATAAACTCTACAAATCATGTTAAGGAGAAAAATTCAATCTTATTTAGTATATTTGTGGGTTGTACGACCATCACCACAATAATTTAATTTTAGAATATTTCTGTCTTCCTTAAAAGAAACCCCGGTTGTTTTACCCACACCCTCTAGGCAAACACTAATGTAACTTTTGTCTCTATAGATTTGCCTGTTCAAGATGTTTACTATAAATGAGATCCTGCCATATGTGGTCTTACTGATGTCCTTAATGTGCTTTTAAGGTTTAACTGCATTATAGCACATATCAGTAGTTTATGCCTTTTTATTGTGCAATAACATCCTATTAGATGCTTAGACTGTCTTTTATTTATTAATTAATCTGTTTATGGACTTTTGATCTGTGCCTGCTTACTAGTGATTACGAATAATGCTGTTATAAACACTTATGTGTAAGTTTTTGTATGGACATGGGTTTTTTACTCTTGTGTGTGTGTGTGTGTGTGTGTGTGTGTGTGTATCTAGCAGAGAATTTCTGGATCTTATGGTAACTCTATTTTTAACATTTTGAAGGAACTGCTGTAGCATTTTACAAAGCAGCTGCACCATTTTACATAAACATCAGTAGTGCATGAGATTCCCAACTTTTTTATCCCCTTGCCAACATTTGTTATTACCTTTTTCATTACAGTCTCTTAGTGGATGTAAAGTGTTATTTCATTGTGCTTGTGATTTTTATTTCCCTAATGACTAACAATGCTGAGCATCTTTTCATGTACTTACTGGAAATTTGTATATTTTTCCTTACGGAAGTATTTATTTAAATTATTTGCCCATTTTTAATTGAGTTGTCTTTTGTTGTAAGAATTCTTTGTATATTTTTGATACAAATACTTTATTGGATATATATTTATTTATTATTTATTTATTTATTTATTTATTTATTTTTATTTATTTTTTTTTTTTTGAGATAGAGTTTTGCTCTTATTGCCCAGGCTGGAGTGCAACGATGCGATCTCGGCTCACCGCAACCTCCGCCTGCCTGGTTCAAGCGATTCTCCTGCCTTAGCCTCCCGAGTAGTTGGGATTACAGGCATGTGCCAACATGCCCGGCTAATTTTGTATTTTTAGTAGAGATGGAGTTTCTCCATGTTGGTCTCACGCTCCTGACCTCGTGATCTACCCACCTCAGCCTCCCAAAGTGCTGGGATTACAGGCGTGAGCCACTGCGCCTGCCCTATTGAGTATATTTTTGCAAACATTTTCTCCCATTCTGGGATTTGTCCTTGTACTTCCCTGATAGTCTTATTTGTAGTTCAAAACTTTTCACTTTTAATGAAATTAATATTTTTATGTATCACTAGTGCTTTTGGTTTTGTATTTAAGAAACAATTACCTAACCTAAAGTGACAGAGATTTACCCATGTTTCCTCTAAGATTTTTGCAGTTTTCCTCTTACATTTAGGTCTATGATTCTTTCTAAGTTAATGTTTGTGTATGTTCAATGGCAGCGATTCAAGTTTAATCTTTGCATGTGGATATCAAGCTATCCCAGAACTATTTGTTCAAAACATCATTCTTTCCCCCATTCAATAATCTTGGCACCTTTGTTGAAAATCAGTTGAACATAATTGTAAGAGCTAATTTCTGGACTCCCAATTCTGTTCTATTGATCTGTATGGCCGTCCTTATGCTGTCTGGATTGCTGGATCTTTGTGGTACATTTTGAAATAAGGAAGTGTGAGTCTTCCAATTTTGTTCTTTTACAAGGCTTTTTTTTATATGTATATTCTGGGTCCTTTCAATTCTCAGATGAATTTGAGCAACAGCTTGGTAATTTCACATGAAAATATCAGCTAGGATTTTGATAAGGATTATGTTAAATGATTTTTAGTCTAAATGGCTGCCATGAAGAAGTAAAGTTACAAGGACATATGAGACCATATTTAAAAACTGAATTATCGGTTGTACTTAGTAAATCATGACACGTATTTTCCAATTCAAATTGCAAATCATGATTCTAAGCATGCTGAACTTTTAATTAAGAAGTTTTGTAAACTATATTACAACATTTTGTTTCCAAGTTATTTTTAAGACCTCTGATATAGAAGTTTTAAACATAAAACATTTCCATTTTTTTCAGTAAATAAGTCATTTAATTAAGAAAACACTCTCTGGCTCACGCCTGTAATCCCAGCACTTTGGGAGGCCGAGGCGGGTGGATCACGAGGTCAGGAGATCGAGACCATCCTGGCTAACACGGTGAAACCCCATCACTACTAAAAAAACAAAAAATTAGCCAGGCGTGGTGGCAGGCGCCTGTAGTCCCAACTACTCGGGAGGCTGAGGGAGGAGAATGGCGTGAACCTGAGAGGTGGAGCTTGCAGTGAGCCAAGATCGCACCACTGCACTCCAGCCTGGGCGACAGAGCAAGACTCCATCTCAAAAAAAACAAAAAAAGAAAACACTCCCAATTCACTTAAAAAATAATAATGTCTCCATAGAATGAATTTTATTTTTTGGAAAAATTCATTTTATTTTTACTCAGTGTGTGTGTGTGCATGTCTGTTAATATCTGCTGGGTGGCATGACACACCAATTTTTAGTATTTTTTTCTTTTACATTTAAGGTTTAGTAAAATAAATTTTGAAGCTCTTTGCCATAAAATAAGCAAACTCTGTATGATACAAAATATTCCTTACCTTACTGTAAATCATTGTCAGTATTTTAATATGTAATTTTTATATATTGCTTAAATCCACTTAGGTGAGCATGTTTATTAAACTATTTCTCAAGATACTGAAAATAACTGAATAAGGGAGGCCACCACTGACAACCATCTTCATGGAGGAGCTCCCATTCTTCTCTCAGCTCAATCTCAAATCTTAGATGACCAATGAAACTGATGAGGCTGCCATATAATTAACTTTTGTAATGCCTAATATTTTTAAGATAAAAATACATATAAATATAAGTTTTAAATATTTTTCCTGGATTGGGCATGATGGCTCCCACCATGAAGGATCACTTGAGACCAGGAATTTGACAGCAGCAGGCTGGGCAACAGAGTGAGACCTCATCTCTACAAAAAATAAAAAATAAATGAATAACTTAACTGGGTGTGGTGGTGCATGCCTGTAGTCCTAGCTACTTGGGAGGGTGAAGTGGGAGGATCACTTGAGCCTGGGAGTTTGAAGTTGCAGTGAGCAGTGACCATGCCACTGCACTCCAGCCTGGGTAACACAGAGAGACCTTGTGTCAATAATGAATAAATAAATATGAATATTTTCCTGCAACCATGGATCATCTTGAACACTATCTAGGGGCCATAGGTCACTCTGCATCAGCATCTAGTCTGGAGTGTCAAATGTCTAGAGATTAAGTGGATCAAGCATGAAAATGATGCAAAAGTTTTGCTAAGTAATTTACAAGTGACTTTGATTAAAGCTGATTTTCTATAATGGCAAGGACACAGCTTGAATCTTAAGAAATAAAACATCTTAATAAAATACAAGACAATAAAGTGCTTCAGGATGGACAGAGTGGTCAACTGTGTTAAGTGACATAAACAGGTGGAATAAGACAAATACAGAAAAAAAAAACACTAGGATATAAAAATGGAAGGTGGTTAGAAGAGCTGTTTCAGTGAGGTAGAGTTTTGGACAGAACTGTGCACTGTGACACCCCAAATTCACAGACTGAACTTCAACGCCAACTGTGACTGTTGGCATTGTGAAAGGGATTTCCTTTCCTTTTTCTTTTCCTAATTTAGAAAGGAAAGAGGTTTAATGGACTCACAATCCTACATGGCTGGGGAGGCCTCACAAGCCATGGGCAGAAGGCAAAGGAGGAGCAAAATCACGTCTTACATGGCATCAGGTGAGAGAACTTGTGCAGGGGAACTCCTGTTTATAAAACCATGAGATCTCATGAGATTTGCTTACTACTGGAAGAACAGTATGGAGGAAACCACCCCCACGTCAATTATCTCCACCTGGCCTGCCCTTGATTACATGGGGATTATTACAATTCAAGGTGAGATTTCACTGGTGACACAGACAAACCATATCAGGCCGTATCTGATAGAACGGTGTCCTTATAAGAAAAGGAAGAGCTCTCTCTCTCTCTCTCTTTCTACACACAGATAGAAAAGGCCATGTGAAGACATAGCAAGAAGGTGGCTGTCTACAATCTAGGAAGAGAGTCCTTACTAGAAACCAAATGTGCCAGCCAGCAACTTGATCATGAACTTCCAGCCTCCAGAACTGTGAGAAAATAGATAGATGTCTACTGTTTAAGCCACCTCATCTGTAGTATTTTGTTCTGGAAGCCTGAGCAGACTCGTAAAGGTGGTAGGGACAGAGAAGCCTGATTACAGAATGGTCAGTGGTAAGCAAATCATGACACAAAATTAGACAATTCTTCCTCATTTCACTGGGTAAAGGAATAAAGACATTGAATGGTAGCTGGACAGGTATGTGAGGAAAGGGAGGATATTGTTTTCTTAATCCAGACTATATTTTTATAATGTTGTGCTTTGGAGAATAATACAGTAAAGAGGAAAACTGTTAATGAAGCAGAAACAGGTAATTTTTTTTGTATTGTTTGTCTTATGTAGGAGAGTATGAGAGCCAAAGAAAACGTAGAGTCACATGAGATAGGAACATGGGCCCCTTTCTTTTCATACAGGAGAAAAGGGAGAGTGGATTGGTATATAGCCACGTAAACTTGATGGTGTGAGAATGATGCAGCATTTTTCTGAGGTAGTTTGGGAGCTTATAAGTGAAGGGAATATAAAATGAAAAGTTAGCTTGATGGAAACAGAGACTCAAGAATGTTATTTATTTAAACAAAAAAACTCTTGTGTATGTTTATAAATAATAAAGGGTCATCAGGTTTACAGTTTTACAACTGATGATTTAATAAAAAGAATAATTGATAAGCCCACCAATTAAACATTTAGCTTGAGAAAGAGTGTGGAAATTCTTTCTCAAGTTTAGAAAAAAAATAGAAAAGAATGAGTTCAAGACTCAAATAGTACTGGAGGAGAAGAAAATTGAGGGAGACCAAGTTGAAGTAAATTGCTAAGAGTAAGGGGTTGGGGGAAGGCTTTGAGAAAGGGAAGAGGCACTAAATAGTCACCTTGGACAATGGGTGCATTAAGTCGAGAAGAATAAAACATCTAGACTGATGTTTAGCATTAGTGGTCCTGGTGCGTGACTTACCCAGTATTTAATTGAAGTTGTATCAATAAACATATTTTATTCTCTCAGGCAGTAGAATAAGAGAAAATGGGCTATTGACTTTTGTTCTAGATAGACAGAGAGAAAAAGTTCTGAAAGTAAAGCAGTTTGAAGTAATATGGGATCTGAATTTAGACTATGTACTTTTGTTAAATAAAGTGGATAAAACAAGGATTTGGAGAAGGCAGAGGATATTGAGAAATCTGGTGAACAGGCTGCCTTATTTTCTGGTTTCTATATAGAAAGGGCGGAAGTGTCTTATCATTTTGAGGGGACAGAGGAAATTGAATAGTATCTAAGGAAGACGGTAGAGGAAATAATTAGGAATAGTTTAAAAATGTTAAATTGTGACAAATGTAAGAAATAAATGCATATTGAACAGGGCTAGTAGAGATATTGACAAGAAGGAAATGATCAAAACAGTAACTACATGCAGGTTGCAGATGAGGAATGAAGAATATGAATGTGGAAAGTACATACAATCCCAAAGACTTGCTCCTCAGGAACTGATTAGGAATTGCAGGAAATGAAGACATGAAATTTAAGACCACATTTTATTCCCCACAACTCTTCTGAGCTTTGGAGAACATAATTAAGAGCATTTATTCACTTTAGCTCTTTTAGTAAGGACAGTATTGAAAATACATTAATGGGAGGTAATACGTGCTGTAGACTGAATGTTTGTGTTCCACACACAAAAATATATATGTTGAAGGCTAATTTCCAACGTGATGGTGTTTGGAGGTGGGGTCTTCTGTAGGTAATTAGACTGTGAAGGTAAAACCCTTATGAATAAATGAGATTTGTGCCTTTGTATGAAGAGACAAAAGAAACTTGCTTACTCTTTATTTGCTCTCCACCATATGGGAATACGAGAAGAAGATGGTCACCCACAAATCAAGAAGAGGGTCCTAATCAGACACCAGATTGCTTGCATCTTGAGCTTGGATTTCCCAATCTACAAGCTGTCAGAAAAAAAATGTTTGTTTTACAAGCCACCCAGTCTATGGTATACTTGTTATAGCAATCCAAACTGACTAAGACAATATGTTTCATGTGTCTATTGGTACAAATAATAGGCAATAAGATCTAAGAAAAATTGGGAATGAAGGTATCAAATTTATTAACTAAAAGGAATAGGGAGAACTATCAAATTATGAGTTGGAGAGACCCCTCAGTTCTTTACTATATTATAATTTTTATACCTATTCTTACTACAAATTAACTAAACTTTTATCATCCTAGGAAAATTTTCTGAGTAGTTTTGAGAACATATGTAAGCTTGAATTGGAGCATTTAAAAAATATTTAAAAGGAAATGACAATTTAGTATTAAATTGAGCTAATTGACTGAAGAGCAAGCATGGTCAGTTAAAACCTTTTGAGTTTCATAAACACAATATGAAAAGTGCATATGTGATATGAATTATTTTCATGGTTTGCATCTATCTCCCCTTATTAGAGAACATTGGTTACATAATATCCTCCTTGCAGCTCATATAAACTATGTCTTTGGCGATAATGTACATGTTACTTTAACCTCCAAATGGCCAGATGTTGTAATAACGGAGACCTTTCTCACCTGGATGATGAGTACAAAGTGTTCATAGTGAAAGTGTCACCATTAGGTGAGCTAAATCCCCTCACGATACTGGTGTGCTCAAGGAAAGGAGATTGAAATGTTTATGAAGTTACTTCCTTTTGATCCTATAACTTAGAGCCTGAAAGATAAAAATGACCCAAGTACTCCCCAAATCTCACCTGTGATGCCTGCAGAGTTTACTGCTTCATAAAACTGCAATAAAGCCCTACTATTTAAAAACGATCTCTTGCTCTATCACATGGTGTTTACAGTCTTTGATCACTTTAGATGGAAGAGCTGGCATGCTGCCCATAGCCAGGAAATAGCAGGCTTTGTCCTTTTCTAGCTATTAAAATATTCTTCTGCATAAGGGGAAAAAGAACAATGCATCAAACTAGGTACTTCTGTACAGTGTAAACGTTGTGATTTAATTTGCTAATTTTCAAAACTACCTTGGAAAAGAAGAGACTACCTGCAAGCTCTCCACCTGCTTATAAATCTTATTGTTAGTATGCAAGCTTGTGAGCACACTTCTTAAGATTAGATCTGCTCATTACATGTGGGTATGTCCTCTGCATATTCTGTGAACAAAAGAAAGCAAGAATGTGGCTCTGATGGGCAGGGGCTCAGCACGATTCCCATGTGGGAGCATCTTCTAAAGGGGCTATTTCCTTAAACTAACCAGAATCTTTTATGTCAGCTTAATGAGGCTGAATCTTTTATGATAATCACTCGGTAAGTAAGGTTGGGAATATAAGAAGAGACTTCCTGAAAGTGGACATTGTTAGAACAGGGAAAGGCTGCCACTTTTGTGAAGGAAACCGATTGTGTTTGGGGCTGATTAGCTAACAGCAGCAAATGTCCCCTGTGAGTTAAGAAAAATTGAGAAGTTTGCTTTTAGGATTGGCCTTCTAGTCCCAAGGCTAATATATGAACCCATTTAGCAAGGCCACATATATATAGGTAATAGAAAAGCATCTCAACTAAAATACATTTTGGAGCAAAGTAGATAATAAATAACATTTACAATGCATTTTAAATTATTTTATCTCTCCCATTAGGTTTAAAATTTCTTGAAGAAGATGATGCTAAGTGGTACTGCTCCCTGTGGATTTTTTCCATATGTCCTCCGGTACAAGTAATCTTGAACCATCTCCATAGCCACAGACATTTGCATTTTCACCATTTGTTACATTTGCCAAATGTATCATCATCATCTTATTCACTTTATTCACCATCACCAAATTCATCATCACCTTATTCAGTCCAATGATGCAATCATCATCACAGTCAGCCTTCAACATTTCTTGAGTGCTTTCCGCTTTCAGGGCACTCCACTCACAGGAACACCAGGTAAAGTCATCATTTTACTAATCTACTTCATAGTTTCCAAGGATAAGCCTACAAATATGAGTTTGTGTGGGGGTAGCAATATGGCTTGGGTGACTTAGTTGAAACTGAAACACTACTACTAAGGCAACCTCCTTCCTCTCCACCATAAATATCTGTTTATTATTATTCATGACAACTGGGAGAGAGAATTCCATTTCTGAAAATATAAGGCATTACACTATGTACTTACTAGATTGGCCAATGTTTAGGACACTAACATCACTGAATGCTGACAAGGATGTAGAGAACAGGAATTCTCATTCATTGTAGGTTGGAATGCAAAATGGTACAGCCAGTTTGAAGACAGTTTAACAGTTTCTTACAAAACTAAACATCCTCTTACCATAACATCCAGCAATCTTGCTCATTGGTATTTACCCAAATCAGTTGAAAACTTATATCCACACAAAAACCTACCCATGGATGTTGATAGCAACTTTATTCATAATTGCAAAAACTTGAAAGCAAGCAAGATCTCCTTCAATGGGTAAATGGATAAATAAAATTTGGTATATAAAGTTAGTGGTACATTATTCAGCACTAGAAAAAATGAGCTATTAAGTCATAAAAAGATGTGGAGGAAACTTAAATGCATATTATTAAGTGAAATAAGCCAATCAGAATAGGCTGCAAACTGTATAATTCCAACTATAAGATGTTTTGAAAAAATGCAAAACTCTGGAGACAGTAAAAAGACTACCAATGGTTGCCAAAGGTGGGAGGGTCAGGAGAGATGAATAGGTGGAGTACAGAGGAGTTTTAGGACCGTGAAACTACCCTGTATGATATTATAATGGTGAATACATTTCTTTATACATTTGTTGAAACTCATAGAATTTACAACACCAAAAGTGAACCCTAAGTAAACTATGGACTTTGTGTGATAATGATGTGTCAATGTAGGCTGATCAATTGTAGCAGATATACCACTCTGGTGGGGGATGTTAAACATGAGGAAATTTGTGCATGTGTGAGTGCCAGGGTCAAGTTGGAAATCTCTGTACCTTCTGTTCACTTTTGCTGTGAACCTCAAACTGCCCTAAAAAATAGTCTATTTATAAATAAGGAATTAGATGTCTACAAGAAACTTCTTGGGAGCAAACATATAAAAGACTGGATAAATATGAATAGCATATTTTATAATACATGAATGAACAGTTACTTAAGTAAAGAAAAGCATCGAAGGACAGAAATTCTGAAAAAAAAAAGAAGTGGAAATATAGAAAGCGAAATGCACTATGAAGCCAATATTCACTCTGAAGCATTTGCTAATATAGACAGCTGGGGTGTGATCTTAACGGACTGCACGAGGAAGATGCAGGATACAAAACCAGGCCATGAACAAGGAGGAAAACTGGGTTACAGAGCCCTATGTAAAGCTGATTTTCTGCATTCCATCCTACCAAGCAAAACAAAGAAACACTTCAACAATTTCACAAGGGAAAACAACAAAAACCCTTCCAGCAGAGGGAGACAGAAAGAGGATTAGCTCTCAATCTTGATTTTGGGGGAAGGTGGTGAAGGGAAGAAAAAAAAAATGTGTCTCATAGGAATTCTAACCACAAACCCACCTGCACCTACTTTTGGTGATAAAATTCACATAATTCAATTACTCCCACAACACCAAAATAAAACAATCTTAAATTGAATGCTTAGTTCCAAAGTGGCCTTGGATTGATGGTGTCCTCAGGGACCAGACAGAAGCAAATTCAAATCCTTTTTTCAAAGAAGACACTCTAGATACAGAAACTCAGTCAGCAAAGATACAGGAGAAAAATGAGCTTGAAAAAATGATGACAATTGTAATTGCAGAACCAGTTCAATCTGTTTCAGCTTTGTCAGTGATAAAATGTAATAAAATGGTGAGTTGTTTTTCAGTTGCCATGAATCCCCAGGTTGCAAGTCAAACAGCCTCAGGATATGCAGATGAACCAAGCTTGCCCAATTCATGACCCCAGAGCTGGCAAGAACAAAAAGTCAACCACATAGGGAACCTAAATGTCCGGATTGGGGAATGGAGAACACATTAAGAAGCAATGGGGAACCTGTTTTTTTGTTTGTTTGTTTGTTTGTTTTTTGCAGATTTAAGAGCCAAGGACCCATCACCACCTCTTTGCCTGATCCAATCAGATCACGCCTCCTTGCATTTTCCTGTCTCTCTCATTGCTACTTTCTGCCTAGAAAACCTCCCCACCTACCCCACCATCCTCAGTTCAGGGAGACAGATTTGAGTGTTGCCACCTGTCTCCTTGCCAGTAGACTCACAGTAAAGCCTTTTCTTTTCTAGAAAACCACTGCCATAGTATTGGCTTCTATGTGCATCAGGTAGCCAGCCCATTTCTCAGTAACATCATCACAACACTTTAAACAGGCCATTGCTAAGGGAAAATCAGTGGAAGAAAAGATTGTAAAATCAGATACTCAAAGGATTTTCAGAATTTTACTCTAAAATATGAAGACCTAATATATTTTAGGAAGTTAAAGGGTATAAGGTAATATATGAAAAAATTAAACACCAAGAAAATTTTAAATCTAATAAACCATTTAGAAATAAATAATACATTATAATTGTTTAAATTTTTTTGTACTTATACAATAATTGAGCATATTTTGGAGGTACTGCTGATATTTTGATAGATGTATACAATGTGCAATTATCAGATCAGGGTACTTGAAATATGCATCACCACAAACATTTATCTTTTCTTTGTATTGGAAACATTACACTTCTAGCTATTTTGGAATATACAACAAATTATTGTTAGCTATAATTTCCCTACTGTACTGTTGAGTAGTAACATTTATTCCTTGTATCTAACTGCATTTTGCTATCCCTTAGCAGGTTAGAAATGTGTAAAGAGATATTCCATGAAGTGAGAGATAGATAGGAAGAAATTATCTGGAATTCAGCATAGCAAAAGAGAAAGGAATATAAAAGAGATATTAAGAGAAATGTAGGTGAAAGTCATAAAATCTAGCTTGTCTTCTAGACTTCTGAAGTTGTAGAAGGTGAATAGAAAGAAATTGGAGTATATTAGTTGAGTAGTAGAGCTATTCTTATAGATATACTTTATCATCTCGATGGATTAACAGAAGGATTAATAGAAAATTTTAATGTGATGTGTTAAACGTGTGTTTCTGATTTACAGATCACCTACCCAGGGACTACAGACTTAAGTATATACATTCTATCATCTTTGAACTGAATTGGGCCCAAGTGGCCCATAGAACTGATAATTACTATTTTTTGGATATACACAGAAATTGACTCTCCTCATCTTAAAGCCTGAGACTTACATTTGTCTTTTCTGAGTTCCTTCTTCAGGGAACCAACCCTCAGGCATTCCACATAGTATCAAGGAACTGAAACTCACCAAATCACTGCATCCAGACAATGATCTGTCAGACCCCTCATACATCATGATTCATGTTTTCCAACTCCTCTTCCTTTCTTTTCCCTAATTCCTGTTTACCAATTCCTCTTCCATACCCCTCTCTAATTCCTATTTTCCCACATATAGTTACATATCTTTCCTGAGATACAAACCCCTAATTTTAGCCAGTTGAGAAGATGGATTTGAGAAAGATCTCCCACCTCCTAGGATGCAGCACCCAAAAACGCCTTCTTCCCTGACAATACTTACTGTCTCAGTGATTGGCCTTCTGTGCAGCAGGCAACAGAACCTAGACTGTTCCCCTGGTGTTTTGGCAACATAACCATGACTGAAATGTGATCGTGCTTGTTGGTTGGCATCATGTCAAAGAGAAAATAGCATAGAGTATTATCCATAAATGGGTTTGGGGATACAGATTTAGAAATTATGTTCATAACCTTCTTCTCAACTTTTATTGCTAGAAGTTTGCTACATGGTCCTATTTACTTGTTAGGGAGGTCAGAAAATGCAGCCTAGCTAAGAGCTGGAAAGAACAGGAAATGAGTTTAATGACTGGTCTGCAGGTTTTGCAGGTTAACACTTCTGGTCACTAAATGTGCCTTTCACTCTTCTCTCCACACATGAAAGACACTTATACCCTCTATCATGGAGATAACCCAAGGTTCAAACTATTTTCAGCTTATACCTGGAAATCTAGAATTCACTTGATTTTCACAGCTTTCCATAGGAAAACATATGGATCCTCACATCCTGGCAAACTATTACCTGAAAGAGATAAGTTATGTCCAGCCCCTTCCACCACCTCTAAAATACAACAGTTAAAGAGGTCAAAGACATCACATTAAATATTCTCATTCAGAGTAGGAGAATAACAGAGACACGTGGCAGTTCCTGATTCCAAAACAAGAAAACACATAGTTCAATATATGGAAACTGGAAGCCAAGCTCACTCATGAATATAGGTAAATACCTCTTAAACAAATGTTGGCAAATCAATTTCTGCAATATATAAGAAGAGTAATGCATAATGAACAAGTTATTTTTCCCAGATATGCAAGGCAAATTTATCATTTGATAACGATTAATATAACTGAACACATTGAAATTGAATGATGAATTTAATAAAGTGAGGAGTAAAAAAGCAAGTCACAGAATAGCATTTATCATAACCTTCATTGATATGTAGTTTAAAACATACAAAACTAATAAGGGTACCTTTTTAGGGATATACACATGCATATTCGAACTTTTAAGATGAAAGCAAGGGCATGATACACACAAAATTTGGAGAAATTGTTATTTCTGAAGTGTGAGGCTTCAGAGGGATTCGTAATAGTCTCTAATATTGGTGATAGAGTCCCACTTAAATATCAACATAAATGATCTTTTGTCTGTAATTGTTATGTGATTTAAAAATTAAAATACAAGTGCATAAGGGTGAAAGGCATTTGACTGGGGGAAGTCTGTCAGGAAGAGCAGTAGAAGAGAAAGCACTTCGGAGTGAGGGCCTTCACCCATCTTAGGGACTTGGTCATAGCTACCAGAATCAAGAGGTTCGAGGACCACAAGCTGCCTGAATTCTTTTCATAAAAGATTTTGGGAGAGTCCAAGCATAAGCAAAACAACTTGCTTCAGGGCTTATGTGACAACACATGTCACAGAAATATAGAAAATCATTATCCCAAATTCTGTTTCAAGCTGGGCTTCCTTCTGGCATCCTGAAAACTGAAGTCTGAGGGAGGAGGTGTGTGGGAGGCAGCAGCCCAGAGAGTGGCCTTTCTCAATGAATATTTTCAATGTCTTTGCCATTGTAGACCTCCTGTGAGGAGACTCACAAACAGCAGGGAAAACCCAGTGGCAGTCAGGGCAGGAAAGACAGAAAGCGTAGGTGACACAAACTGGCTGATGCTGACTCTGGATCTTGGGGGCCAAATGAAGCACTCATTTTGGAAGTGTCAAAAATAGTACAATGCGGCACTTAGAGAAAGGTGAGACCCTCTCCTGAAATACCATCAAGAGTCTAGTTTTACCCACAGTCATTTATGCCAGTTGATATTTTGGACATACACATAAAGAGTTGCTACACACACATCCACACATACACACACCCATCGACCCCCTACACACAAAATAACGCTTCTAAAAACTGTATGTTCGGGGGCTTTTCTGGGGGTGGGGGGAGGGATAGCATTAGGAGATATATCTAATGTAAATTACGAGCTAATGGTTGCAGCACACCAACATGGCACATGTATACATATGTAACAAACCTGCATGTTGTTCACATGTACCCTAGAACTTAAAGTATAATTTAAAAACAAAAGTGTATGTATGTATAACTGTGTGTTATATGCTTTATGTCTTTTTGATTTCGGAAGAGAGAATCACTTCTGAAGCAGGATATTTCCCTGACCCCTCGTGGGACTCGCAACAGGGGTGCCTCGTTTAGTCAGCCTGCCGCTCTCAGCTCCTGACAGGAGGGAGTCCACGAGCAAATGAGGCAGGAATTGGAGTGCAGGACAATTGGAACTGGCCGGCCGCTTTGGCACACTCTGTGCAGGACCCCCTCAGAAGCATCCATGTGGGGGTGCCTGTAAGCCGCGAAGCCCCAGAGGGCGGGTTACAGCGCTCTTTTAGCTCTGCCATCCGTGGATGGCTTAAATGTTAACAGTTCAGTGGGCCCTTTGCCTTGTTGCATGGGGCACCAGCAAGGGCAAAGGGCCAGTGTGACAGTCTTTGGTATCCACACTCATGGCTCCCGAGCTCTTGTCCCGCATCCAGGAAAAATGAGGTTGCACAAACGAATTGAAGGATGATAAATGTGAGGGATTTTATTGCGGATGACAGTGGCTCTCAGCGGGAAGGGGAACTGAAAAGGGGATGGGTTGGGGGGTGGTTAGGTAATCTTCCCCTGAAGTCCAGCCGGATTCTTCTCTGAAGTTAACACTGTCAGGCTATCCCTCTGAAGTCAAGCCGCTTCTCTTTGACGTCCAGCTGTAGTCCCATCTACCAGGTGAGTCGGGTTTTTATAGGCACAGGATGGTGCAGGGCAGGGCCGTGGGTGGTTTAGGAAAAGGCAACATTCGAGCTGGAAAACAGGGATATAAGTTATCACTTTTGGCCGTGGTTTCAGGCTTTTTGGCTTGGGGGTGGGGTTTTCACTGGGGAACTGTTATTTTCCTCCTAGAATTTCTCTGCCTTCTGTCCCCATCACTCCTATTGAGTTTTCTAAGAATATATCTTCACTAGAAAGAAATTCAAGTATGACATCAAGTTTCTCAGATATTATCCAAAACATTTGATGAAGGGCGTTGGTGCATATTCTGTTTTCATGGCTGTGCTTAAATGGGTCCTATTCTTGAAATAAAATGGTGGCATGCTCAGAAGTCTCCAATATGTAGGATATGCTTATCACATGCTTACCTTATGGCCTTTTGATCCAACACCTTAGAATAAGTAAGGAGTCTTGTCCAGAAGCCACTTGATTTTCTTAGATTTCAACATATTCAATTGTTTATTAATTGACACAGCCCTCAATAGCTTTGCCAAATCCTCAGGGCTCCTGTAACCAAGATATGGCAGCCAGGTTTAATTGCATAAAATAGCTACAACTAGAAATTCACTTAGAGCACTCTCACACACACACAAATAAATGTTGTGAAAATGTTTCCACAATGATGTCAACAAAATACCCTGGCATTTTTTCATGTCCTTTCTTTCATGTCTATTAAGTCATTCTAAGTTGGTTCTCTCATTTTAGGTTTCTTAAAAATGAAGCATTTCTATACAGTTAAACCTGCTGACCAGGCACATTCCATAGACTTATTATTATATTTTTAAATTAGTTTTCCTCTTTCATTTTCAACTGGATCAAAAAGCAAAACCCAGCATCCATCAGCTGAGGTCATCTCTGCAGGAAGCCCAATTAACTCAAAATAAATCCTCAAATGGTAGATGAACCAGAACCCATAATAAGCTTCCTCCAGGGTACCATGACCAATTTGTGCCTTAAAATGTTTTAATGTGATCTTTCCCCATACTTTTAGTCTTGTCACCTCTTTTATCAATATATTATTGTCTTTAATGTATACACTATTAGATAAATGCATACGTATGAATATAAATTGGTGGTACTTCTTTTCAGTTTCTTAATTTGTTTACAGTTACCTGGACAGAAACATCTGTTTTTGTCCCTTTGAAAAAAGTAGATTACTAGGCTGCATTTTAAAAATTTGTCATTTCACAGTTATTTACAAGTATGATGTTGACAGAGTGGATCTGAGAGGGTAGAAAAGGGGAGAGGGAGAGAGTGAAAGACAGAGAGTGTAAACAAGAGAGAGACAGAGATAGAAAGGAGAGAGAGAGAAACTAATTATACAACAGATGCCAAGAGTGGTATTTATTCACCAAAACTGCATGGGTCATTCATTAAAATCTCAGTTTTAATTAGCAAACACCTGTTTTCTGTTTGATTTTACACTGATATCTACTGTCTGCAATTTGCTTTCTTCAATGCAAGCAATTAGATATCCCTGACAGTAACAGTTAATCTAATTAGTCCCGAGGTGCCCTGGGAGGCAACTATCGACTGGAAGAAATTGCAGATATAAGTGATCACAGCTTCACTCACCTGGTTGAATAAGATTTGTGCAAAATTATTGTTGGATGTCAGCTTTCCCCGACCCCTGACCTTTCCTTTTGGACTTGGGTTTAGGAGGAAGAGTGAACTGAAGAATATTTTTGAGTGCCTACTATGTATCAGTCACCATGCAAGGTCCAGACAGTAGGAAAATGAAACTATTACAGCTTCTAGCCTAGAGGAGGTTTACAGCCTGATGAAGGAGTCAGATGCATAAGCAAGTTATTCTATATGTAAGGATCTTGGAAGCCCCAAAGAGCCAAGATGAATCCAAGCATTTACATGCAAGAATTAAGGTACTTCTCTAAGAAATTTTGATTGCTACTGAAAAAACAAGATGAGGTTGCCTTTTTGCAAACTGAGAAAGTTGTTTGTTTTCAAATTGATAAAGTTTGCTTGTAAACATTCCATCTGTGTAACTCTATCAGCATCTTATCATAACCTTTTTTAAAGCTACCTGATGTGCCTCTCTTTACATAGATTATGACATGTAAGATATTCTCTTTCCTAATTTTGAAGTTTAGTTAAAGCAGGTTGTCACTGAGTCCAAAGGTCTAGGAAATATGCATGAAAGAGGAATCAGTTTTCAGACCAAATTCCATATGCGTGTTTCAAAAATGGTACTGTTAGATAATTCAGAGTGAATATTTCCACAAGTAAAGCAAAGGCCCAAAAATGGCACCCATAGAGATGTCTGGAAAAACTTCTTTCCTCTGCTCTGGCCTAAGTTTAATATACTTGCTTGGAAAAGATGAGAGCCCTAAGCTTCACTTGGCTCAATTCACAAATTATACTCAGATAGAGGAAAACTATCTATCTCTCCAGCACACACAGGTTGATGCCCAAGGTGGTTTTAGGAGGCATCTTCTGTGCATTGCACAAACTTAATGCAAGCAGCCTCTGACTCTGTGAACATCACATTATGCTAAACATTGTGAAAGAGGATGGCAGGGGAGTTTTAACAACAGTACTGCAAAAATTAAGTTATGCTCTGTCTAAAACTTCCCAAAGGCTTTTGCTGGAAGACATTCATCAGCTGGTGTGATGATGGTGGTAATTAATTGACTGGAATTGTGTTTTTTCTTTATAGAACAAAAATGCATCTAAAGTGCGCTAGATTTGGACCTCCTCTAAAAGATTAGTTGTTTAGATAGAATGATTGTGAAAAGCATCTTGTCCATAGACACTGCAGTGATAAAGACAAAGATGATCATTATAATAGAAATTACTGAGATGAACATCATTAGACAGTTTTGCATGTATAAATGTCTATTACTAGAGAAATAGGGAAAGGATGAACATTTGTGAGGCATCTACTATATGCCAGCAACTGCTGGGTAGGAGCTTCATATATAAAATAATTTTCATGTTCACCCTGTCGGCTATGTTTTATCTATCTCTTTTATAAAGTGTGGAACAGGCTCAAAATCATTAAGTGATTTTCCTAAAGGTTTTACAGTTAGAAAGTGGCAAGTCATTGTTTTAACCAAAGTTCCTCTGATTCTTTATACTATCTGGCTGTCTCCAAAGAACAACTAATAAATACTGATATTCATATCATGTTCTGCATTTTACAGGATACTTTAGAAATTATATGAAAGGTTTCTACCTAGGACAGTGGCTGGCATTTACGTTCTATTGTTTGATTCTTATAGTAATCCCAAGACATTTTTGAAACAGGTAATATTTCCGTTCTGTTAAAAGCAAAGAAATAAAAAAAATGGCAAGTCTGGAAATCTTCAGGAGTCTGTTAAATATTACTAAACACTAGATAAATGAAGTAAATCATACACAGTTCTACCCGTAAGAAATTCACAATGTCATGGACAAGACAGACATATAAGTATATAGAATATAAGATATAATAGAGAAAGTACAAAGATTTATTTTTGGAATAGTGAGATTTGATCTTCAAAATAATAGCATATTTCCATTTCTAAATAAGTTGTGGCCTATTTAATATTTATCTGTCCTGTGTTTTATTTCTCAGAATAACCCAGGTTAGAGTGTTCATGGTAGCTTACAGGCATGTTATTTATCACTAGCCATAAACTCGTATTCTTTTTTTTTTCTTTTTTCTTTTCTTTTTTTTTAAAAGGCCTGATTTGTAGCATTGGCCAATTTTTTTTGTTTGTTTTTCTTTTAGATGGAGTTTAGCTCTTGTTGCCCAGGCTGGAGTGCAATGGCACCATCTCAGCTCACTGCAACCTCTGCCCTCTGTCCCCTGGATTCAAGCAATTCTCCTGCCTCAGCCTCCTGAGTAGCTGGGATTACAGGCATGCACCACCACACCTGGCTAATTTTGTATTTTTAGCAGAGAAGGGGTTTTTCCTTGTTGGTCAGACTGGTCTTGAACTCCTGACCTGAGGTGATCCACCTGCCTCGACCTCCCAAAGTGCTGGGATTACAGGCGTGAGCCACCGCACCCAGCCACCATTAGCCAATTTTTATGATGTAAATACCCTCAAAACTTCAAGCTGTCCCCATTGTAACTAACATGGAGTTGGGAAAAGATGTCCACAACTGGCTCACCAGAGCTGGTAGAAACTGGCTTAATCACATCCTTGGCAGAGCTAATATTGGAGTATGGAATGTGTTTCCTTACCAGATCCACCTTCTTTTTTTTAGGGCTTAAAACCAGGGATACAGGTTTGTTACATGGATGTATAGTAGAATGCTGGAGTTTGGACTTCTATTGAACCCATCACTCAAATAGTCACTATAGTATTCAATAGATAGTTTTTCAACCCTTGCCCTGTCTCTTCCTCCTCCCTCTAGTGGTCCCCAGTATCGATTATTTCCATCTTTATGTCTATGCGTACCCAATGTTTAGCTCTCATTCACAAGTGAGAACATGAAGTATTTAGTTTTCTGTTTCTGCATTAATTCACCTAGGATAGTGGCCTCCATCTGCATCCATATTGCTGCAAAAAAACATGATTTTGGCTTTTGATGGCTGTGTAGTAGTCCGTGATGTATATGCACCAAATTTTGTTTATTTACTACACAGTTGATAGGCACCTGGGTTCATTCTGTCATCGTGCTATTGTGAGTAGTGCTGTGATAAGCATATGAGCGTGGCTGTTTTTTTGGTAGAATAATTGATTTTCCTTTGGGTATATGCCAAATAATGGAATTGCTGGGTCATATTGTAAGTTCATGTTTAGATCTTTGAGAAATCACCAAATGGTTTCCTATAGGAATCTCTGCCTTCTTTGCAGTACTCATTCCTGTCTCCATGACACCCACTTCATGTCCACATATGCTCTCATACTGTTACCTCACATCCTCTTATACTCCATGACAATATTTCCATTAGGAAAAAGTTAAACCAATTAGTTGCCTGTTGTAGGGACATCTGTGTTTTACTAATCAGGGAAAAATGACAGTGAGAATAAGCAGGTAGGGAAGGTATTTCAAAGACAGAGCTCCATCTCGGGAGTTGTGTAATCACACACACACACAAAATAAGGATTTCCAGCATTAACTAGACTTGAAAAGGGACCTAGCATTATTGGTCCTTGTCTCCTACAGGTAAGGAACATTTTTATAAGACTATTTTAGTGGAATCAATGCATTAACACAAAGGAGCAACTATAATGCAAGAAATCAGGTGAATGAGATACTATAGAGAAGTCAATCCTTGTGTTATCACTCTCATTAAAGGCTGCTAATACTTCCAAGACACTGAAAGAGTCTTGCAAGAATTAAGTTGTTTTCATAATGCTGCCCTTCTTGTTATTTTATGCTTCAGTCTTTACTTCTGTAACATCTCTGCTTCTATCTTTCCCTTCAGCCCACAACACTTTGTTTATTTCTAGACACTGGCAGGATGCAGAATCTAAGCACTCAGTGTTATTATTCTGCTGAGGGATTTGGAGAGGGGTGCATAATAAACTCTGAGTTACTTCTCAGTACACAGAGCTGTGATCTGTTTTTGCTGTCTTTTTTCTCCCTCTAGTCTTGTTTGTCAAACAGAAAAACAACGCTGGCTACTTTCACATCCATATTCAATGACTTGATTTCAGCATTGTTTTAATACTTCATCAGAAAATTATTATTCTCTTCTTTCTTTACCCATGTAATTTTAAGAGGTTTACTGAATTTTAAAATGTCTTTTTGTCGTATCTCCAGGCTTATATTTTGTCATGAAGAAAATACACCTCCAATTTGATAATAGAGGTCACTGAGGGATTTGTGTTTTGAAATGTACTCTTCAGCAGGTTATTTATTTAATAGTAATAACTGCAAACACATATAGCACTTGCTGTGTGCAAGGCATTGTACCAAGCACTGTGAATATGCTGACTTATATAGTCCTCATAACAACCTACTTATGGGTATTACTATTTCTCCAATTTTACAAATAAGGAAATTAAAACAGAGATAGTTATGGAAATAGCAGATGGTGAAGCTAAGCACCATCTGAATCCAGCATAGCTGTCTCTAGAATATGTGATTTAACTTCGACCCTGTCCATTTTGACCTAACACAAAAATCATGACTTATGATTTGGCCTATCATACTGCAGCACTATAGACATTAAAGGATTCTCAATATTTAGTATCAGCTTCTGTAGTCCTCCTAATTAGGAAATCACAAGATATCTTGCTAGCATTATAAAGCTTATCCTATTCTCAGAACAAAAGAAAATTTCTGATTAGGAGAGAATCTCAGAAAGCACAGTGTATTTGTAGAGAAAAGTCATTCAAATTTCAGAAAATATTAGAATCTTTATGCAACACTTGTATTATTTCTTAGCTTCTTTTACAACAGCATGCCAAACTCTCCTAACACCAGGAGGAAGTTACAGCTAAAAAGAATGCAACAGCATACCAGGCACATAGTAGCCTCTCCAAAGACCAGACTCAGAGTTAGTGTTTCATAGAGGTTTGTTGAGTGAATGAAATGCATATAAGTGAAATAACTTGCTGCTGTTTGTGAATGCTTGATACTTTATAGCTAGAAGCAGAAAGTGGTTTCTCTGAGTTGCAGGACATACGATCCCTTGTTAAAATATAAAATTATTTAGGAGAGTTAATGCATTATACTTTCTTTAGCAGGAATGCATATATTGGTGGCAGTTGGACTATATATATGTAATATATGTTTTCATATTAAGTCATAAGGTGCTCTCCCTAGAATGAAAATAGGCAAGGAATACATGCAGCCAGGTGATAAGGTTAGGAGTATGACTGGGATAGGAATCAAAGATACATCTACTAGAAATCAATTGTGAGGCTCACACCTGTAATCCCAGCACGTTGGGAGGCTGAGGTGGGTGGATCATGAGGTCAGGAGTTCGAGACCACCCTGACCAACATGGTGAAACCCTGTCTCTACTAAAAATACAAAAATTAGCCAGGTGTGGTGGCGGGCACCTGTAATCCCAGCTACTCAGGAGGCTGAGGCAGGAGAATCACTTGAACGCAGGAGGCAGAGGTTGCAGTGAGCCAAGATCATGCCACTGCAGTCCAGCCTGGGTGACAGAGCGGGACTCAGTCTCAAAAAAAAAAGAAAAAAAAAGAAAAGAAAATATCAGTTGTGAGATCCAAATGAATGGATTTTGGCATGAAGTTCTGCATAGACATAGGTTTGAAAAAAAATGAATTAAGCAATTACTAAGATAAATTTCAGAAGGGAGAAACAGCAGTTACACAGAAAATTGCTTAATCCTGAAATGTAAATGTGAAGGTATTGGCAATAAACTCAAGAATTGAATCCACGACTGAAAGCTGAAAGTTGAGAACAAACAAAGACAGTGTACGGGAAAGGGCAAGTTCCCCAAATGGAGACCTTTTGAGCAGATGCAGGAGAGCTGGTTATCTTGGAAATACCACAGGGCAATGAGGTCAACAGTTGTGTCCCCAGGCCAGTCAGAGTTCTCACAAACAGCTGCATGGGACAGGAGTTAATTTATGTTTGCCTCATTTTTAAAAAGACAAAACATCTGTTGGAATACTGAAGTGGCCCTCTGGATAAGGATGAGCATCACTTTTTAGAAGTTTACTGGATTAGCAGCTGGGTGCGGTGGCTCACACCTGTAATCCCAGCACTTTGGGAGGATGAGGAGGGTGTATCACCTGAAGTCGGAAGTTTGAGACCAGCCTGACCAACATGGAGAAACCCAGTCTCTACTAAAAAACAAAATTAGCTGGACTTGGTGGCACATGCCTGTAATCCCAGCTACTCGGGAGGCTGAGGCAGGAGAATTGCTTGAACCTGGGAGGTGGAGGTTGCGGTGAGCCAAGAGCATGCCATTGCACTGCAGCCAGGGCAATAAGAGCAAAATTCTGTCCAAAAAAAAAACAAGTTCACTGGATTAGCTAAAAATATATTTCGCTATTATCCATCCTGAAAAAGGCTTGATAAAAAAATATTTGGGAAATGATGATAAATTATAGCTAAAAAGAAGCTAATAGCATACTCTTAGTAAAATATTGGTATTGAAAATTATTATAAATGTATTTGAGTGTTTATGTATGTGATTTAGTGAATGTATATATCGGAGAGAAATGTTCCAGTTTTGTCTCAATGACCATAACCTTTTCCATTTCATAATAAAATTCTTTAGGAACCTCTCTAACCTCCAGGAACTCTTTTAAAAGAAATATTGTATGAATAAGTGTGGCTGACATCAAAGTCCACATTCTTAATTGCTACCATATACTGGTAGTTGAAATAATAATTTTTCAAGGAGCTCAGTCTGCTCAGTCAGTTTTCTTCTCTCATTTCTCCTCCTTTCTCCCTCCCTTAAAATGCCCTACTTGACCTGAAGTTGTGTTTTCCTCCACTGGAACTCAGACCCCGAGACTTTGGTTTTGTTATTTTTTCTCTCTAGGGTATCTTCTCTGTGTTTTTGTTCTTCTAGAGGGGTGACTGATGCTTCAACTCAAAGCTATTAACTTTTAGCCTCTTATTTTCCTAGTTATATTTTATTTATAGGATAACACCTGCCTAACACTTGTGAAAATATTAGAAGAGACAGTCATTGTTAAAAATGAGCATCTATATTCATTTACAGATGAGAAACATAGAACATGAAATGAGCTTACCTTTAATAGTTCTCTGATAATAGCACTCTTGTTTCTGATTGGTTCATAGGAAAAACAGTAGATTTTTGGGACACAAAGCCCATGTCATAACCACCTTCTCTCAATTACAAGACACATGTGACTTTTCTGATCAAATTTCTAACAATTGCCACTTGCCTTTTGTTCCGTGCCATGGTATGATGTGGTATGCTCTAGTGACTATGAACATGGGATTTTGAATCAGACTGTCTTGTGTTTTTTCCTGGATTTTTCAAAGCTAGCTGTAGGCCTTGGGAAAATTACTTAAAATTTTAAATATCAATTATTCATAAAATGAGAATAATTGTATTTATCTCACAGAACTGGTATCATTAACTTAGCATAGTACCTGGCACATATGTAAAGGCTCCACGGATGCTAGTACATATTATTGGTTGCATATACTTAACTCTTCTATATGTCAACTTTTAGGTTCATTAAACTGCTACATCTTGCACAGATGGTGCACAGAACGGGCACCATGGTGCTACAGATGGTGGTATAGAACTGGCACCATGTAAAATTGAGACATCAACCCTGAATCTCATGCTTTCAGCTCAGTTTAGCATTGAACCACACCTTAAATGTCTCCTGATATTCTTCCTTGGCTCCTGAATATGTTCCCAGTTTTCTCATTTTTAATGTTGAATTCACACTTGATTATTGGATTCCTTTCATACGTATCCAATAATGACTTGACCACATCAACTAGTGACTTCATGGATAAAAAGGACTAAGTGGCTAAATGTCTAAAAATGACTTGACCAAGGTCAAGTAGTGGCTAAAAAGGATTTTGACACAAAAAGTCTGAACCAGACCTGCAGTGTTGACCATTACCCTTTCTATGACAACATTAACTCAATGCCTAAATGCTGTTTATATTACCCCATAAGCTACATGCACTTAGATCACCTTCAGGGAGTATTCTCCTCTGTTCTCCTTTAGCTCCTGGATGCTATTTCTGACAGAACCAAAGTGCTGTGAATGTCAAGCCCACATAACTAGCCAAGGAAAAGCTCGAATGGAGCTGTGAAATTCTTACACTTGATCACCAAGGTACTGGTACTGGGCAAAAATGTTATTTGGCAAACTGAAAGCATGGGTCACACAATTAATGGTCAGGCATAGGATGAAAATTCAATCTGCAGTTTTCGCCACTGCCCTAGACTCCATCAATACCTCTCGTAACTTTGATAGAATGCTTCTTGGGTTCCTTGTGCAAAATGCTTTGATCAATCAGTTTATTCAGTGTTAAGGGGGCAGAACTATGGGAGATTTTGGGAACCTGCCTGATATTAAAGGGAAAATACATCTTATATGCAGTCATGCAGCCTCCTATGAAAGCTTTCTACCAAGATTACAGTGGATTTGTACCCTCTGTATCCATTGGAGGTCAACCACTGAGATACTAGACTTCAGGTAATGGTTTTTCAGAAATAGTGGCACTGCCCCACCTAATTCCAGGAGGGAATTGCTTATTTCTGTCATTACTAAAAGGATAAATATGCTTATATAATGCTCGTATTTGTAAAAGCAGGTACCGAGCACCCTCTCATGATTCACATTCTTAGTTATGAACTGCCTGCACTACCTTTGCTATGCACCACTACCCATTTGATTTCTTCTTCTTCTTCCATTTCTGTCTTCACTCAAAATATTTGGAGCTCAGCATTGTTTTCCTGGCTATGACCACAGATGTTCTTTGTGATCACAATTCAGATTTTACTCCCTGGCTATGTAATCTCAGATAATTCTGGATAAACATGCAGTCTAACATGATCCAGTCTCTGAATCTCTTAGCTCAGTACAGCTTCTGAACCAGATCTGTACCATTTCCCCTTTCAAGCCCAGCCCATCTGCCAGGTTCTCTAAGACTTAACAAAGTGAGACCTCTTTATAGCATCTGTGCTCCTCTCAGTCCTTCCTGTTTCTTCTGAGTGTCAGCTGTGGTCCTCACCTGCTCCAATCACAAACACAGGGAGGTATTTACAGCTAGGGTTCACTGGCCCGAAAATTTCTGTGTTATATGCAGCAGTTGCAGGACATGAGGGAGCAGGTGGAAGACTCTGGCTACATCAGCCAGTTTCAAAACCCAAAGGCATAATTTCTCCCCAGCAGCAGAAAAAAAAAATGGAAATAAAAGCAATTGCTAATGCAGTTAAATTGTGTAGCCTAGGGTAGTTGAACACTGTAATCTAACCTTCTTGTAAGACCACAGGGGAGTCTTTTCCTGATGTTCTGGATGGAATTTGGTAAAGGCAATCAAAGCGACTCCAGTTTTCTTGACTCCAAACAGGTGAAATAGAACCTAATAGAAAGAGGTAATTAGACCCAGGAATTGACTCATAGCCCAACAGGATTAAAAAAGTTGTCTACTTGGAACAAGCCCTGAATTAATGCAATTGAAGTCCCTCTACAGAGAGCTGAAACATAGATAAGGCAGATCAAAATTAATAAAATCACTTTTAAAAATGTCTCCAAATTCTGCATTCTCATCTGCTAGATGAACTGGACAAACTTTAGAATCAGGGCTAATAAAGAGAATTGTTAAAAATATATTTATTTATTTGATGATTATTTAGAGTGTCAGTTATGTGGCAGACACAGGTCTAGGTGATGGAGATTCATATTGAATGAAATAAACAAAATTTCCCTTTCTCATGCCAGTAGTAGAAAACTGGCAGAAATGAGACAGAAAAAAATGTATACCTTTTAGAAAGAAATTAAATATTAAAGTGTGGAAAAGGGGATAAAATTCCATGAGTGAGATGGTGCTCAGGGAGGGAGAATAAGATTTTAGAGTAGACAAGAAGGTGATTTTTGAGAAAAAGCATGATGGAAGAGGGGGAATGAGCCATGAAGGAATCTGAGAGTAGATCAGCCCAGGAAGAGGGAATAGCAAATGCAAAGGTTTGAGACAGGACCCTCCCTGGAAAGTCTGAGAAACAGCAAGGAAGGTGGTGGAACCAGACTGGAGAGAGCTAAGAGAAGAATATTAAGAGATGAGGCATGTGTGTGTGTCTGGGGGAACAGGATTAAGGGCATAGTAAGAATTTCACTTTTACTCTCAGATGGAAGCTATTCGTGAGTTTTGAGCCAAGGAGTAACATGATCTGACATGTTTTAACAGATCATTTGGCTTCTCTGTTTAAAACAGATTTGAGTGGGCAAAGGTAGAAACAAAAAACTGGATAGGAGACAAAGGCAACCATAGAGGTGAGAGCTGATGGTGGCATAGACCAGAGAGTCACAGTGGGAGTGTGAATAAGTGACAAATTTAGGACATATTTTGAAGGTAAAATCTATGGATTTTTATAAGGAACTCAATACAGTATATGAAAGGAAAGTCAAGATTAAAAGCAAGGATTTTGGCCTGATCAGCTAGAAGAAGAGCCATCATTAACAGATATGAGGAAGATGACAAAAATATCAAATTTAGAAGGCAGAATGTAAGGAATTCAGTTTTGAATATGTTTATTTAGACATCCAATAAACATCCAAATGGACATGTCAGGTGGGGAGTTTGACAACAGAGTCTTTTTGTTTCTATATTTTTATTTATAAGCCTTTTCATCAAAGGGACAGGAAAATATGATGTAGAATCAGAAGCCTTGGTTGTCCCCAATTTTTGTTATTCTGACTGGCTCTTGGATCATGGCTAATCCATGGACAATGGTAGGAGGCAATGACGTTCTTATAGCACAGAAATTTCCTTGGAGTGGCAGATTTATTACGTTGGAATTTTTTTTTTTTTTGAGACGGAGTCTCACTCTGTCGCTCAGGCTGGAGTGCAATGGCACTATCTTGGCTCACTGCAATCTCCACCTCCCGGGTTCAAGGGATTCTCCTGCCTTAGCCTCCTGAGTAGCTGGGGTTACAGGTGTGTGCGCCACCGTGCCTGGCTCATTTTTGTATTTTTAGTAGAGACAGAGTTTCACCATGTTGGTCAGGCTGGTCTCGAACTCCTGACCTCGTGATCCACCACCTCAGCCTCCCAAAGTGCTGGGATTACAGGCGTGAGCCACCGCTCCTGGCCAAGGTGGATTTTTTTTTTTTTTTTTTTTGAGACGAAGTTTTACTCTGTCACCCAGGCTGGAGTGCAGTGGTGTGATCTCAGCTTACTCCTCTGAGGCCTAGGTTCAAGTGATTCTCCTGCCTCCGCCTCCTGAGTAGCTGGGATTACAGGTGCCTGCCACCACGCCCAGCTAATTTTTGTAGTTTTAGTAGAGACAGGGTTTCACCATCTTGGCTAGGCTGTTCTTGAACTCCTGACCTTGTGATCCATCCGCTTCAGCCTCCCAAAGTGCTGGGATTACAAGTGCAAGCCACCGTGCCCAGCCCCAGGATGGATTTTTTTAAGCCATTATTAGTCTGTGTTGAATAGCTCCTAAGACTTTAGTTTAATATCACAGTTCAAACATTAATGCAATGATTTGATCTTTCAATCTCAATCATCATTATGCTTCGCTTGCAAAAGTTAAAACTCACCAAGATTCATGTTGTAACTTGCTGATCAGGAAACACCCAAACAGATTTCTGAACTTAAGTCTCCACTCAATGGTACCAAAACAATAAGCTGCAAGGAGACCACAGGACATTCTGATTGGAATGTCCATGACTTTTCTTTCCTATGAGGCATTGAGTGCAAACTTAGAATTTGTGACTCAAAGGTGGGTTTCTGCCTCTTGCCTATGTGTCTCCCTGCCCCAGTTAATACTACCTGGGGATGTCTCTGGTTCTGGACTCTTCTCTCATGATTCATCCCCTAAACAAATCAAATACCAACTTATTCACTTACTGCATTGTACGCCACAATTCTTTCACCAGGAAGGGATTCCATAGCATTATGCATACTCCAGCTCTAAAAGTGCCCTATTTTTAGCAGTTTATACATTCCAATGAATAATCAGCTTTTCATCATTTTTAACAAATGGCAATTATATCCCCTTCAGCACATAATTTTTTTCCCATTGATTGCCTACCTTAGTGACTTTCAGACTGCATTAGCCATTTATACTTTTAAATTGCATTTTATTTAATTTTAAAACTGGAACAAGATGAATAAATGTTTGGTCATTTTTTCTCTGTTATACTGCACAATATTTCTCAACCACTTATTCATTACTTGAGATGGGAGGAAGGAGCCTTTTAGACCTTTTCCCCCTTAATCACCCCGTCCCATTTAATTTAAATACCACAGATGTTATTATATATGTTTATGTCCTGTGACTCCTTGGAGTAATGTTTAAGACCCTTCCCCACTAAAGAAGCAATTATCACCCCTTTTGGGCAATATTGTCTCCTCTTGAGAGTACAGGTACTACAGTGTTTTGACTTTATGACTGAAGAGATAAGGAACAAAAGAAGGAAAGAAAGAAAGTGGATCTGCTGTTAACATGGTTGCCACTTCCCTCTTTTTCGGGCATGAGATGAGGTGGTCTCTTAAAAGTTAACATTGATAAGATTTCTGCATATTTGTCTACCAAGTGGCTCACTGAGGTCAGTGTGATGTCAACTAGGACAAGAACACTTGTTAATCTGAATCAAACAGCCACCATGTGTGGCTTCTGTATAATACAGTTTGGATATTGTTGCCTGCCAAATCTCATGTTGAAATGTAATCCTCAGTGTTGGACACGAGGCCTGGTGGGAGGTGATTGGATCATGAGGGTGAATTTCTTGTAAATGGTTTAGTGCCATCCTCTTGGTGCTGTCCTCACAAGAGTGAAGAAATTCTCACAAGATCTGGTTCTTTAAAACTGTGTGTCTTCCCCCACCCTCTTGCTCCTGTTTTTGCCCTGTGACTTGCCTCCTCCCCCTTCACCTGCTGCCATAATTGTAAGCTTCCTAAGGCCTTCCCAGAAGCAGATGAAGCTATGCTTCCTGTACAGACTATAGAACCATGAGCCAATTAAACCTCTTGTTTTTTACATATCACCCAGACTCAGATATTGCTTTACAGCAATATCTGTAAGGAGATAAGCAGGGAGACACATAAGCAAGAGGCAGAAACCCACCTTTGAGTCACAAATTCTAAGTTTGCACTCAATGCCTCATAGGAAAGAAAAGTCATGGTTTTTTTTAACTTTTTATTTTAAAAAGCAATATCTGTAAGGAGATTTCTTTACAGCAATGCAAGAAGGGACAAGAACACTGTATTCATATATGATTTTCTAGTTTTGCCATCTACTAAGACTTTACAGAAATAGTTCTCCTTAAAGGATTAAAAAATAGGTGAAAACTTTGCAGAAGTAGCATTACTCCAGACCTTTCTTTCTAGTCTTTCCAGGGAACGCATTATAACCCGGATTAGGATAGATAAAAAGTCAGTAATTAGCGTGACAAGGAATGATGCTGGGTCCAACTGGCTGAGTTTTGTTATATCAACAAAATATGATCTTAGTGAGAATTTCTGCCTTAAAAACTATATGGATGAACCTTAACTTACAGGATAAATGAGCTTGTGTCATGCTTTACTACTTGCCAGTATATTGGCCTTTATAACATATGTTGTGTTCTTTAAAAAATTATTTTATAGGCTCCATGTTTACTTTTTGATTATTTCTAGTCAGAAATTTCTTGATTATGACTGTATTACAAAAACATTTACACATTCATTGTGGATAATGTACTCTAAGATAATATATTATATGTCTGTTACTTATAGTTTTATATAAAAGTTAAAATTTTATTTATTAGTAGCATTTTAAGTGATTTCAACTGCAGTAAATATATTCAAGATGTGAAATAAAAGCACCTGCATGTAATTGGGACCTTCCTCATTAATCTTTAATTTTCAATATTATTATATTTTCCTAAGATAGAAGAAAATGATTATTTTATTTTACATTATTTTTTATTTTTAGAAGACTCAGATCTAGTTTTGGTACCATAGTTGCCTGGCATTAATAGCCCTTTCAATAGCTTTTAGTGATCAACATACTTATAACTCACAATAAAAAGATTTTAAGCTTTTTTAAAAAATATATTTTTGGCTTTGTAATTGGTCTCCTTCTTCATATTGATCCCTGAATTTTCCACTCTTAGTGTACAAGAAAAGTTCTGTGTTAATTCTAACCCTCAAAGAAGGAATTTTTTCCCTTTCCATATGGGTATAGGGGTCTAATGGGTCCTTGATGTTTATGTTCCATAATTAGAATAATTATTTATAGAGCTACCTCTTTCATTGCTTAACTAATTCATAGCTAACTGCCTTACTTGGTATTTACTTTCATCTTTATTGAATACTAATGAATATTCTTGGCACTGAATAAACAAACTTCCATTAATTTTACAGGTTAGACTACTTGCATACTTTTCAGAATGTATCTGGTAAGACCACAGAAAGTATACAATTTTAATACTGAAATATAGTTATTTATAAGTATCATCCCATAATTGCTTTTAAAGCAATTTTACCTCTACATTTCCTTTTTTATATACGACAATACTACTATAAAGGCAGAGGGTATTCTTTCTATTTAACAGCTGAAAAACCAGAGCTCAGAGACTTTATTACTTGCATAAGGTCAACCGAGTCTGTGCAGAGATGAGAATAAAATCTTAACTCTCAGCCCCTTCCACAATAATATATTTTCTTTGGGAAATAATCATAGGCAATAAAGGTGCACCTTATATGAAAAAATCATGACGTGTATGGACTTCAAATCACCTGGTAAGAGTAGTATTTCTAGAGTACTTCGTATTTCTCAAACACTGAGCAAGGAGGCACAATGGGGTCATCAACTCTGGCTCTCAGGAGTCCACTGGGTCTTTTTAAACAGTATGAGAAAGTGATGCTTAACCCCTAAAACAGCAGAAAATGGTCTTTCATCAAATCAAGATTATAAAGTAAAGACCCTTTATGTACCTTTGCCTGCCTATCCAATGCAAATACCTGTACAAATAGAAGAGTGGCAATTTGTCAGGTGGCATTTTACATTCACCTCATTTGTTAGCCCAATGGGCCAGTAAGAAGCACTATTTTGTGCTTGGTTGATTTCTCTTTGCGTGCTTTTTCTAAGGGATCGGGAACTTCTGAGAATTTGAACCAGATAAAATTTAAAGATATCAGACCGCCTATGCCTCAGAAAAACTTGCTTTATATCTTCTATTGGTAGATTTATCTTTATTAAAAATTAATACACTGTTAAAGGGTGCTTGAAAATGTAAGCATATTTTATATTGCTACTCTACCCCTATGTTTTAAAGGAAATAACCACAATATAATTAAGCAGAAAAGAGAATAAGCAAGCTCAAAGAAAAAAACAATAAAATAATGATGGCCATAATCATTTGTTAGTGAATCACGGACAGGCCATTAGAAATTACCCAGTCAGAAAAACAAACAGACAAAAAACAGTGAAGAAATTACGGGTCACCATCAAGTCAACCAAGTATATGCATTATTGAAAGAGCAGAAAAAGAGGTACAAAAATATTTTTAAAAACAATGATGGGAAACTTGCCAAATCTGCAGAGGAAAATGAACATCCAGATCTATGAATTTCAAAGAACTCCAAATATGTTAAATATAAAGAGAACTTCACTGAGATACATTATACTAAAATTCTCAAAAGTCAAAGACAAAGTAAAAATTTTGAAAGCAGCAAAAGAACAGAAACCCATCATATACAAGTAAACCCCCAGAAGGCTATCAGCAGACTTTTCAGCAAAAACATAGCAGGCTAGAGGTGGGGGACATTATATTCAAAGTGCTGAAAGAAAAGAAGTGGCCATGAAGCATACTACATGCGACAAGTCTGTTCTTCCAAAGTAAGGAGAGTGATAAGGCCTTTCCCAAACAAACAAAAGCTGTAGTAGTTCATCACCACTAGAGCTGCCTTACAATAAATGCTTAGGGAAGTTCTTCAGGTTGAAATCAAAAGACAATGACAACTATGAAAACATATGAAAGTATAAAACTCACTGTAAAGGGAAGGATATAATCAAATTCAGAATACACAAATAATACAATAATGGTGCGTAAATCACTTCTTACTCTAGTGTAAATGATAAAAGACAAAAGTATTAAAATAATGATGGCTATAATCACTTGTTAGTGAATACACTATATAAAACTATGTACATTTTGACATCAATAACATAAAATATGTGGATGAAAGAAGTTAAAATAGAGAGTTTTTGTATGCGGCTTAAGTGAATTTGTTATAAGCTTAAAATGAACTACTAAAACTATAAGATGCTTTGTGTAAGCCCTATGGTAACCACAGAGAACAAACTGATATATCTACATGGGAAAAAGAGGAAATAATCAAAGCATACCACTATTTTTTTTTAAGTATCACATTACAAAGAAAAGCAGCAACAAAGGAAGAAAAAGCAAACAAAAAACCATAAAACAATTAGAAAGTAACTAACAAAATGGCAGTAGTAATTCTTAACCATCAATAGTAATGTAAATGGATTAAATTTTCCAAACAAAAAACAAAATGAGCAAATAGATTTAAAAAATCAAGATTAAACTATATGCCCCCTACAAGAGACTCACTTCTGCTTTAAGGACTTATGTAGGCTAAAAGTGAAGGGATAGAAAAATATATTTCTTGGAAATGAATAACCAAAAGAGAGCAAGAGTGGCCCTACTTATATAAGACAAAATACTTTGTAAAAAACTGTCTCAAGAGACAAAGATGATCACTATAGAATGATGAAGGGGTCAGTTCATCAAAAGGATATAACAATTGCAAATATATGTACACCCAACACCGAAGCATCAAATAATTGAAGAACTAAATGAAGAAATAGATAGCAAAACAATAATAGTAAGGAACGTAGATACTCAATTTTCAACAACAGATAGATTATCCAAACAGAAAATCAATAAGGAAACAGCAAACATAACACTACAGACCTAATAGACCTAACAGACATATAGAACATTCCATCTAACAGCAGCAGAATACACATTATTTTCAAGTGCATATGGACAATTCTATAGTATATATCACAGGTTAGGCTACAAAGTCAGTCTTAACAAATTTAAGATGGGAATTACATCAAGTATTTTTTTTTTCACCACAATGATATAAAACTAGAAATTAATTTCAAGAGAAAAATTCACAAACGTGGAAATTAAACAACATGCTCTTGAACAACCGATATGTCAAAGAACAGATCAAAAGAAAATAAAAAAAACTTGAGACAAATGAAAATAAAAACGCAACATTCCAAAACTTATGAGATGCAGCAAAAGCAGTTATGAGGAAAGTTTATAGCAACAAATGCCTGTAGTAAAGAAAAAAATCAAATAAATTACCCAACATTATACCTCAAGGAATAAGAAAAAGATGAAAAAATTAGTCGAAAATTAATAGAAAACCGTAAATAAAAAATCAGATAAGAAATAAATGAAATACAGCCTAAAAACCAATTGCAAAGATCAATAAAACTAAGAGTTAGTTTTGGGGAAAACTAAAAAAATTTGACAAACCTGTTGCTTGACTAACCTAGAAAAATAGAGAGAAGACTCAAGTAAATAAAATTATAAATGGAATAAGAAATTACAAATGACATCACAGAAATACAAAGGATCATCAGAGACTACTATGAGCAAATACATGCCCACAAATTACACAGTGTAGAATAAATGGATACATTTCTAGAAACATACAACCTACCAAGTGTGAATCATGAAGAAATAGAAAATATGAACTAACAAGTAATGAGTAAGGAGATTTAACTAGGATTAAAAAAACAAAAAAGAAGAAGCTTCCAACAGAGAGAAATCAAGGATCAGATGGCCACAGGTACACATTCCACCAAGCATTTAAAGAAGAATTAATACCAATCCTTTTCAAATTCCACCAAATAAGTTAAAGATATGGGAATACTTACAAAATCATTTTATGATGCCAGCATTACCCATATCCCAAAGCCAGAAAAGGATACTATAAGAAAAGAAAATTAAAGGCAGTATTCCTGATGATTATATGTGCAAATCTTCCCAGCAAAATACCAGATAACCAAATTCAGCAGATTACTACAGCAATCATACTTAGGATCAAGTAAGATTTCTCCCTGCAGTGCAAGGATAATTCAATATATGCAAATCAACCAATGTAGTATGTGACATTAATAAATTGAATAACAAAAATTACATGATCATCTCCATAGATAAAGGAAAAGTATTTGACAAAATTCAACATACTTCTATAATGAAAAACTCTCAACAAACAAGGTATAGAAGAAATGTACCTCAACACAACAAAAGCCATACAAGACAAGCCCGTAATTCACATCATACTCAAAGACAAAGAGTTTAAACTCATTCCTCTAAAGTCAGGAACAAGACAAGGATGCCCACTCTCAGCATTTCTATTCAACATAGTACTGGAGGTCCTAACCTGAACATTTAAACAAGAGAAAGAAATAAAAATATCCAACTCAAAAAGGAATAAATAAAATTATGTTGTTTGCAGACAACATAATCTTATGTAAAGAAACCTGAAATACTAAATAAAACACTTGTTAGAACTAATTCTTTCTTTCTTTCTTTTTCTTTCTCTTTTTCTTTTCTTTCTTTCTTTCTTCTCCTTCCTTCCTTCTTCCCTCCTTCCTTCTTCCCTTTCCCTTTTCCTTTTCCTCTTTCTTTCTCTCTCTCTTTCTCTCTTTCTTTCTTTCTTTTTCTTTCTTTCCTTCCGTCCCTCCCTCCCTCCTTTCTTTTTTCCTTTCCTTTCTTTTCTCTTCTCTTCTCTTTCTTCTCTTCTTTCCTTTCATTTTCTTTTCTTTTCTTTTCTTTTTTCTTATACAAGGTCTGGCTCTGTCACCCAGGCTGGAGTGCAGTGGTGTAATCTAAACTCACTGCAACCTCCACCTTCCAAGATCAAGTGATCTCCTCACCTCAGCCTCTCAAGTAGCTGGAACTACAGGTGCTTGCCGCCATGTCTAGCTAATTTTTGTATGTTTTGTAGAGACAGGGTTTCACCATGTTGCCCAGGCTGGTCTTGAACTGTTGAGCTCAAGAAATCTGCCTGCCTCGGCCTCCCAAAGTGCTAGGATTACAGGCATAAGCCACTGTGCCCAGCCAGAACTAATAAATAATTTCAGTAAAAATTCAGGATAGAAAATCCACTTGTAAAAAATAGTTGTGTTTCTGTACACTAACGAGGAATTATCCAAAAAAATTAAGAAAATTCTATTTACAGTACCATGAAAAGAATAAAATACTTAGGAATAAATTTAACCAAGGAGCTGAAAGACTCAGATATTGAAAACTATAAGATATTGATGAAAAAATTAAAGAAGACATAAATAAATGGAAAGATATACAATGTTGATGTATTAGGAGAATTAATATTGTAATATTACTACCTAAAGCCATGTATATATTCAATGCAATCACTATCAAAATTACATTAACATTTTCCCCAAAATATTTACAGAATCCTACAGATTTTGTACAACTACCCAACACCTTCCAAAGCTAAAGCAATCTGGAGTAGAAAGAACAAAATTGTAGGTATCACAGTACCTGATTTTAATATGTATTACAAAGCTATGGCAATAAAAAAAGGTAGGGTACTTTTAAAAACAGACAAATAGGCCTATAAACATAACAGAGAGCCCAGAAATAAACTCACACACTTATGGTCAACAGATATTTGACAAAGTTGCCAAAAACCTGCACTGGGGAAGACAATCTGCTCCACAAATGGTGTTGGGAAAACTGGATATCCACATGTAGGAAAATGAAATCAAGCTCTTATCCTATGCCATATACCAAAATTAATTCAAAATAGATTAAATTATTAAATTTAAGACCTGACACTGTAAAACTAGTGTCAAGGGAAAATGCTCCTTGAAATTGGTTTAGGCAACTAATTTTTGATATGATTCCAAAAGCATAGGCAACAAATGCGAAAATAGACAAATGAAACTCCATCAAACTAAAACGTTTTTGCACAGGAAAGGAAAAGAATCAACAGAGCAAAGAGACAACCTACAGAATGAGAGAAAATATTTGTTAACCATGTATCTGATAAGGGGTTAATATCCAAAAATATAAATAACTCAAACAACTCAATAACCAAAAAATGAATAACTGAATTTAAAATGGGCAAATGATCTGAATAGACATTTGTCTAAAGAAGAAGTACAAATTGCTAACAGGTGTATAAAAAACTACTCAGCATCATTAATCATCAGGAATATGCAAATCAAAATCACAATGATATATCACCTCACACCCGTTAGAATGTATATTATCAAAACATCAAAAGTTAGAAAGTATTGTGGGGGATGTGGAGAAAAGGGAACCCTTGCACACTTTTGTTTGGAATGTAAATCGGTATGGCCATTATGAAAAACAGTGGAGTTTTCTCAAAAATTTTAAGATGAAATTGCTATTCGATTCAGCAGTCCCACTCTTTGGTATATATCTGAAAAAATGAGATCAGTTATTAAAGAGATATCTGCACTTCCATGTTCGTTGCAGCATTATTCACAATAGCTGACATACAGAATCAATGTAAGTGTCCACTGTTGGATGAAAGGATAGAGTGTCACATATATACATAGATATATATACACACACCTATGGACACATATATACATATGTACATATATATAAGATAGTGTTCATCCTTAGAAAGGAAGAAAATCTTGTCATTTGTGACAACATGGATGAATCTGGAAGAAATTATGCTAGTGAAATAAGCTGAGTACAGAAAGGCAAATACTCCATGATCTCACCTATCTATGGAATCTATAAAAATCAAACTCAGCTGGGTGCGGTGGCTCAGCCTGTAATTCCAACACTTTGGGAGGCCCAGCGGGGCAGATCACGAAGTCAAGAGATTGAGACCATCCTGACCAACATGGTGAAACTCTGTCTATACCAAAAATACAAAAAACAAAAACAAAAACAAATTAGCTGGGCGTGGTGGCATACGCCTGTACTCCCAGCTACTAGGGAGGCTGAGGCAGGAGAATCACTTGGACCCGGGAGGTGGAGGTTGCTGTGACCCGAGATGGCACCACTGTACTCCAGCCTGGTAACAGAGTGAGACTCCATCTCAAAAACAAAACAAACAAACAAAGTCAAATTCACAGAAGCAGAGAGTAGAATGGTTGTTGCCAAGTCACAAAGTGTATGGGAAATGGGGAGATGTTGGTCAAAGGGTACACAGTTTCAGCTCTGCTGGATGAACTAGTTCCGTAGATCTCACGATCTACAGCATGGTCATTATAGTTAATACAGTAGTATTGTACACTTGAAATCTGCCAAGAGCTTGATCTTAAATGTTTTCACCACATACACACACACACACACAAAAGATAACTATGTGAGATGATGGATGTGTCAATTAGCTTGACTGTGATCATCATTTCGCAATGAATACATATATCAAAATATCATGTAATACACCATAATTATCTACAATTTTATTTTTTAATAAGTCAGTATAAGTAGAAAAAATAAAATATTAAAAACTTTTAAATTAGTTCTATTTGTAATTTTTCTCCTCTTCTGGAATATTTGGTATGGCATTTTGAAAGCCTCAGTTTGCAGTTGTGTATCATTACAAAGGTTCTGGGACTTACTGAGAAAAACAGATGAAATAGAATTTTTGAACTAATAACTAACCAACTCACTTATTTGATGTTAAACCTCCAAATGTTCTATTAAAATACTCAAGAAATGCTGAAAAATGGAATTGAACAAAATTATAAATTAGCCATGAGGAAAATTCATAAAGTGAAGTCCAGACAAATTTCCACCAACTGTTAGTACTTTTAGGTTTATACTACACTCAATCCTATTTCTAAACTAGAACACTGTATATTTCTATGAAAATAATAGGCTAGGCCAGGCGCAGTTGCTCATGCCTGTAATCCCAGCACTTTGGGAGGCCAAGGCAGGCGGATCACGAGGTCAGGAGCTTGAGACCATCCTGGCTAACACGGTGAAACCCCGTCTCCACTAAAAATACAAAAAATTAGCCAGGCGTGGTGGCGGCCGCCTGTAGTCCCAGCTACTTGGGAGGCTGAGGCAGGAGAATGGCGTGAACCTGAGAGGCAGAGCTTGCAGTGAGCCGAGATCACGCCACTGCACTCCAGCCTGGGCGACAGAGTGAGACTCGGTCTCAAAAAAAAAAAAAAAAAGAAAAAGAAAATAATAGGCTAATTTTACTCTTCTTATAATTGTCCTGGAATCTCGGATGCAGGTGCTGCACTGACTAAAAAATTAAAATTAGGCATTTGACTTCCCAGATATCTGGGAAAATTTTCTGAGCAAAGCCACATCTATTTCTTCTCTCTTCTTGTGTGTCTCATAATCATTAACATCAGACTGCTACTTCCACCAAGACACAAGAGTTCACAAGATCCAACAAAGCAAGAAATAGTTTTGGATTGGTAGACATTCACTGAATCAACTTAATTCTCATGCCTGTCACAGAAAATCTTTATATACAGGAAAAGTGGTACAAAAAAATCATAGCAAACAGGGCTAACTAGGATATTGTGAAACACCATACAAATGTAAGTATTAACTAACATCAGAGAGAGAAAATATATACAATCATGGAATATCTTTACCACCGGTTTGACTAAACTGAAAAAGTATTATGTCTGAAGTTATTAAAGATGTGGAGAATTGGTACTTATAAATGTAGAGAAGAGTTATCAATTGATATAGATTCAGGAAGGCATTCTGACAATATCTATAAATATCAGTAGTTCATTTATAGTTACTCCTAAAAATTATATCCCAATTATCTGCCCTAGGGGGAAAAACTCACTTATGTAAATTAGGAGAAAACTGTTAAATTAATTGTAATTGATAATAAACAAACAAATAAGTGCAGGACAAGCTTGAGAAATGACATCATAATTCAGGGAGAAAGCAGAAACAAATGAAAACAATAAAAGAAACATGAATTTTAAGATAAGTGGTTGGAGACTCCATTTAAGAATTAGATTTTGCTGTGGGGGAAGAACTATTAAGAGTAAAAACAGTAATAAAAATAAGATAAAAGAAAATTTGGCTGAGCTGGAAATAGGATTCAAGTTTTTTATTTTGTTTTGCTTTTGGCTTACTTGGGATTTTTTAAAAAAATTTTAATCCACAGTGCTTAAAAACATTCAAAATTCTATCATTCCTGTTACTGAGGATAGACTAGTTACATTTATGTAAAACACAGATCCCCAAATTCAGAGGGTTAAAACAGTGAAGGATCACTTCCTGCTCATGCTATATACAGTACATGTGGTGGAGGACTCTGTTCTATGTTATCCTCATTCGTGGATCTAACTGCTGGAGACTCCCTCTCTGCACTCTTTTGTTTATTTTATTATTTTATTTTTCCATAAATTATTGGGGTACAGGTGGTATTTGGTTACATGACTAAGTTCTTTAGTGGTGATTTTTGAGATCCTGGTGCACCCATCATCTGAGCAGTATACACTGCACCATATGTGTTGTCTTTTATCCTTCGTCCTACCTCCCATTCTTCCCCCCAAGTCCACAAAGTCCATTGTATTATTCTTATGCCTTTGCGTCCTCATAGCTTAGCTCCCACATATCAGTGAGAACATAGGAGTTTGGCTTTCCATTCCTGAGTTACTTGACTTAGAATAATAGCCTCCAATCTCAGCATCCAGTTCACTGCAAATGCTATTAATTCATTCCTTTATATGGCTAAGTAGTATCCCATTATATATATATATGATATATATATCTATATATCATATATTATATACATTATATACAAATACATCATATATAATGTATTTGTATATAATGTATATGTAATGCATTGTGTATGTGTACATTATATACATATACACATTATATGTAATATATATTATATATATCATATATGATATTTATTTGTGATATATATATATTTTATATATATATATATATGCACCACAGTTTCTTTATCCACTCATCGATTGATGGGCACTTGGGTTGGTACCACGATTTTGCAGTTGTGAATTGTCTGCACTCTATTGATCCACAAAGCAGGAAAAAGAAACAGATTATTAGGGCTTTCACCAGAAAATGACACTTATTAGATTATTTCACACCTTATTGGCCAAAGTCACATTGCTAAAGATCTATGTCAAATAATCTAAGAAGAAATAAATATTTGATAAACAATATTAAAAAAACTACCCATGGAAGTGGCTTTATAAATACTAAAATATGGCTTAGTGAAATTTTAAAATTCTGTTGTAAAGAAAAAAAATTTCTAAGCCTATAGGAAGGAAGCAATTGGTTACTCAGAAAGAAACAAGTATCAAGTTGACAAACTACATCAATAAATCCCAAGTGGGAAAGTTGTGATAAAATGAATAGATTTTCATTTTGTTAAACCTTGCTAGGTGACAGGGACTAGCTGAAGGAATATAACAGCATGACGATGAAAGTGACAGAGATTTTGGAAAGAAACAGGGAAGAGCTAGTGAGGTGAAATCATTGCTAAGAAAAGAGAAATTGAGGAGTGGTAGAGATAAACAAAAGAGGACATATAGACAAAATTTATTGCCTGAAGTCCAGATGTAATGTATTTTTTTATAAAATATTACTTATTAATTACTGTATTGGGCCATTCTTGCACTGCTATAAAGAAATACCTGAGACCAGGTAATTTATAAGAAAAGAGGTTTAATTGACTCACAGTTCTGCAAGCTGTACAGGAAGCATGGTGGCAGCAGCTTCTGGGGCTGAATGCAAAGGTACAGCAGGCACATCAGAAGGAAAAGCAGGAATGAGAGGGGGTAAGTGCCATATACTTTAAAACAACCAGATCCAATGAGAAATCACTCACATCATGAGTACAGCATCAAGGGGATGGTGCTAAACCACTCATGAGAAATCCACCCCATGATTCAATTCCCTCTTACTGGGCCCCACTCATGAGAAATCCACCCCATGATTCAGTTCCCTCTTACTGGGCCCCACTCATGAGAAATCCACCCCATGATTCAATTCCCTCTTACTGGGCCCCACTCATGAGAAATCCACCCCATGATTCAATTCCCTCTTACTGGGCCCCACTCATGAGAAATCCACCCCATGATTCAATTCCCTCTTACTGGGCCCCACTCATGAGAAATCCACCCCATGATTCAATTCCCTCTTACTGGGCCCCACTCATGAGAAATCCACCCCATGATTCAATTCCCTCTTACTGGGCCCCACTCATGAGAAATCCACCCCATGATTCAATTCCCTCTTACTGGGCCCCACTCATGAGAAATCCACCCCATGATTCAATTCCCTCTTACTGGGCCCCACTCATGAGAAATCCACCCCATGATTCAATTCCCTCTTACTGGGCCCCACCTCCTATACTGGGGATTACAATTCAAGATGAGATTTGGGTGGGACACATATCAAACTTATTTCAGTTACACTCACACACACACACACACACAAAAAAAAAATGTTTATTTTTAACATTTCTGACACATTTTTAAAATCTTGAACAGGATGACCTAAAGAAATCTAGTCATATGTAGAGATTTCTGTATGTTCTTAAGTATTTGAGCCTTTCCCAATGGGGTGAAGTTTCTCTCCTCTTGCCTCATTGAGTTTTCCAGCAACAGGCTAAATCTCTGCCACTACTGGAGCCTCACATATACCAGTGACGTATTGTCTCACAAAGTATCCTCAGATCTGAAAAAGGAAGGAAATGAAACAGTTCCCATAAGCTCAACTGACTTGGGGATCTGCAGCCATTTTTTGTCCTTTTCCTTCTGATAGACACATTAAAAGTAGGAGATAAACTTTTGCTTACCTATATGTATATAACTTTAAGAAATCTGGTGGCTCAGCTGTGGTTTTCTAAAAAATACTGGGCTGGTTATACTAAGCTAAGCATAGGTCCTCATCCAGAAATCCTTTCTTAATTTCCCAACAGAATTATTTATGATCTTTTCTCTATGATCTTACTGTAATTATCACAATTTTTATAACTTTATTGAACTTCTGTTGAAGTAAAATAAATTGCACTTATGTAAAAGGTACAATTTTATATGTTTTTATATATCCCTGGAAAGTGAAACCATCACAATAATGAAGATAATGGACATTACCACCACCCCCAAAAGTTTCCTTATGGCTTTTTAAAATGTACTTTTTCATTCATCTTTAACCCTAGACAACTACAGGTGTACATTTTTCTAAGTATATTCTTTTAAAATCTAGTTTATTTTACTCAGCATAATGATTTTGATATTCATCTATATTTTGCGTTTTTATTTACAGATTTTTTCTTTTTATTTCTGATTAGTATTTCATTGTATGCATATATTACAATTTTTTAATTAATTTAACTATTAATGGACATTTGGGTTGTTTCCATTTGGGGGCTCCTACAAATAAAGCTGCTAAGAACATTCATGCATAACTCTTTGTGCGGACATACTGTTTTCATTTCTCTGGAGTGTATACCTAGAAACAAACTAACTGGGTTGATTACTAATTATTTGCCATTTTAAAAAACCGTGCAGGCCAGGCACGGTGGTTCATGCCTGTAATCTCAGCGAGGCTGAGGCAGGCAGATCACAAGGTCAGGAGATCAAGACCATCCTGGCCAACATGGTGAAAACCCATCTCTACTAAAAATACAAAAATTAGCTGCATGAGGCGGTGTGTGCCTGCAATCCCAGCTACTTGGGAGGCTGAGGCAGGAGAATGGCTTGAACCAGGGAGTTGGAGGTTGCAGTGAGCCGAGATCGTGCCACTGCACTCCAGCCTAGAGACAGAATGGGATGCCATCTCAAAACAAACAAACAAACAAATCCAACTATTTTCCAAAGTGGATATAGCCATTTAAAGTTTCCATGAGAATTTTACCAGAGTCCTAGATGTTCCAGATTCTCATTGACCCTAGGTATGGTCAGTCATTTTAATTTTGGTCATTCTAATATGTATATGGTGTTGTCAAATTTTGGTCTTAATTTGCACTTATGTGATGATTAATGATATTGGGCATCATTTTATGTGATTACAGGGCTTCTTTTATGAGGTATCTGATTAACTCTTTTACTCATTTTCTTTTATTTATTTATTTATTTATTTATTTTTACTGAGTCATAAAGGTTCTTTATATCTTCTGGTTGCAAGTCCTTTGTCAGATATAATGTTACAAATGTTACTTTTTCCAATATCCTGGCTTATCTTTTTCTTTTCTTAACGGTGTCTTTCAAAGAAGAAGTTTTTTAAACCCTTGATAATGTCCAGATTATCTTTTATTTTTCTTTTTTGTTTCTATGGTTCATGCTTTTTGTGTTCTGAGAATATGCTGCTTAACCCAAGGTTGCAAAAATTGTCTCCTGTGTATTCCTCCAGAAATTGTACAAATTTTGGTTTTATATTTAGTCTTACGACATATATTGGGTTAGTTTTTATGTATGCGGTTAGGTAAACAAATGTAAATTTTTTCATCTGTATAACCAGTTGATACAGCAAAAATTATTGAAAAGACATTCCTTTTCCCTGAATTTCCTTGGTATTTTTGCTGAAAATCAATGGTCCATACATATCTGAGTCTTTTTCTGGACTAATTATGGTTCCATTGATCTATATACTCAACATTTGTCACTACCAAACTGTCTTGATTATGGTCTGAAATCAAGTAGGGTAACTCGTCCAATTTGTTCTTTTTATAAAACAATTTATTGGTTATAAGTCCTTTGCATCTCCATATCAAAAATCTTATTAATTTCTATTAAAAGAAACCTAGTGGTAATTTTTATTGGAGTATTTTGAGTATATATATATCAATTTTGAGAGAATAGCTCTTTCGATTATAGCAAGCCTTCTAACTCCCAACTCAAGAGCACAGTATCCCTTCCTATTTGTTTTTTAAAAATTTTTTTCTCATTTTCTTGTATAGAGATCTTGGTACATTTGGTTACATTGAGCACTAAGTATTTAAAATTTTTGCAGCTACTACTAATGCAATTATCTTTAAGTTCTATTTTGATTTATTTACTGCTAATCAATAAGAATACATTTGGTATTTCAATAAAACCCGTGTATTCCTGAAACCTTATTAAATTTATGTATTAGTTCTAGTATTTCTTTTTTTATTTCTTGGGATTTTCTACACAGGAAATTATATTCTTTGGAAAAAAGTAAGTCTTACTTTTTCCTTTCTGGACGTCATTTCTTTTATTTCATTTTGTTGCTTTATTGCAATAGCTAGGACTTAGGATACAATGCTGAATAGTAGTGGTAAAACTTGGCATTCATGCTTTGTTTTTAATATTTTGGAGAACAAATTCAATCTGTCATCATTAACTATGATATTAGCTAAAAATTTGTTATAGTTGACTTTTATCAGTTTGTGGGATTTTCCAAATATTTCTAGTTTGTTGAGTTTTTCAATATAATTATGCTTTTGATTACATCCAACATTTTTTTCAAATCTATTGAAATGACCATATGTTTCTTTCTCCTTTATTCTAATAATAGGGTGGGTCACATTGATTACTTTTAATTAAAATGTAAAGTGAAATTTGCATTTCTGGGATAAATCATACTTAGCCATGGCATATGATCCTTTTTACATATTGTTTAATTTGGTTTATTATTTTAAAATTTTTGCTTCGATAGATATTCATGATTAATAATCATGTGTAATTTGCTTTTTTGAGTTGTTTTCTCAAATTTTGAAATTAAATTTATATTTTATCTTGTGGCTCCACTACCCATAGATTATTGCCTTTTTTCACATCATTCAAGAGGGCTCAAAAACACATCATCTTCCAGACAGAAGGAAAACGAAACAGGTGAAGAGGAGGATGTGGTCCTTTCTTTCTAGAGTACACTGAGAGCTGTCCACATTGCTTATATTTAAATTCTATTTTCCAGAGCAATATATATTAGTAGCAAGCGAGAGTGCAGCTTTTATTTTGAATAGCCATGTAATCCACTGAAAATGGGGCCTTCTATTATCTTAGAGGACATTCAGAATATATTCTGGGGATACTTGGCTTTCTCCTTTTTTTTTTTTTTTTTTTTTGGAGGCCAGGGCATCACTTTTTTTATTAATACAGGTGGTGCTAGAGATAGAATAAAGGAGGTACAAACAGACTATAATGGAAAGAGGATAGAGAAAGAGAAGCTTAGATAAAGGCAGAAAATAGAGGGAAGAAGAAAATATTGCAACTATAATTCCTGTGAGACAAGGACTTTGGAAAGGTTCTCAGGTCTCTGCATTGTTTGTACCTTCAAGAAAAATGGGGCCTTGGAGAGGGACTTCCTGAAAGGTCACAAAGCCTATTGGCCAGCAGGTTTAAAAGTCAAATGTCCACTCCTGGACCAGGCTTTGAACCAGCTTGGTCAATGGCTGCTGGAGGGGAGGAGGAGAAATAGAAAAACATACCAAAATGTATTTTTAAAAGCATGTAAAAGAAAACGATAATAAAGATACAACATGACATATAAACATACTTAAAACATAAAATACAAAATATATATGAATATCAAAAAACTGTCAACTTCCCTATGTCATATGGAAGTTGACATATCTAAAGATGTTTAACTGAAGAGGCTCCTAAAGGTAACACCAACAACTGATTTCAAAGACTGGAACAAGCTTTCTAAAACAGAATCTTTTGGCCAGAGGTGGTGGCTCATGCCTGTAATTCCAGCACTTAGAGAGGCCAAGGCAGGAAGATCCCTTGAGCCCAGGAGCTTGAGAGCAGCCTGGGCAACACAGTGAGACCCTGTCTCTACTAAAACATTTAAAAAATTAGCCGGGCATGGTGGCATGCGCCTCTAGTCCCAGCTACTCTGGAGGCTTTCTCCTTTTTAAAAGTAATTAATGTGTTCAAGATTTAGGAAGATGATATGTGAATGCACATTCCAAATCTTGTTATACGTAAATTCATTAGGATTTCTTTCATATTTATTTCAAGTTTTTTGATGCAGATATTATATTATCTAAAATTAATGTTGGAGGTAAGGAAAAAGTTTTTGATGTTTGTTTTGTGTTACTTTTGCTTTCCTGCAAAATCCCTAGTACATTGCATGACATCATGTAGACAACAAGAACAAAAAACCTCAGCAAATATTTGGTGAATGACAAAAATGGGGAAACTGAAGAACAAAGAGCTACTCTTTATCTGGATGAGACTGTATTTCTCTAATGGTCCAATTTTAAGAAAATCATCATGGGGATACCAAATTATTTTAGTTCATTCATTTATTTTTTCCGTAACTTTTGTTGATAACTCATTTCCAACATATAGTTTTATGCAAGATACACGTGGTCACTGCCCTCATGTAAGTTAAGATCCAGTGGAGAATATTTACAAAAGAGAGATACTTAGAAGGTAGGTGAATTCTATTGAGGGGATGCACCGATGTCACAGCAAAACAAACTATTTTAATATTAACGTTTGAAGATGTAAAATTCATCAGCCAGTGTTGACTTATCTGTCATCTTCTACAGATAATGTACACTAAAGTAATCTTGGTATTGATTGAATGAATAACTCACAGATGCTTTAGGAAAACTCAATACTTCCTGGAATTTATTGGATGTGTCCAGTATTTTATGTTCCACTTCTCTTTAGCCTCTCCATCCTCCCCCAAGGAAGTCATCTGAGACATATTCAGGTATTTCTTAAGTACTCAGTGGCTAAGAAAACAACCTCAAATGTAAATTTGAGCAAATACTATCCTGACATGCTCCAGTTAAGAATACTTGATCTCCCAAGTATTAATATTTTGAAAATAGTCCTTGATACCATTCTCTCTCAATAAGACCCCAATATCTTAAAATAAGCTTCCAACATCTGTTTTTCAAATGATAACTTCTGATAGATTTTGGAAAATAAAAAGTACATTTCTGACCAGTAGGGTCAAATCTAAAATCTGAAACCACTTCCTAGATAAGATATATTAATTTAATGCAAGATGAATGTGTAACCACATCTTCAGACACATTATATCTTCAAGTAGTTGAATTGCTTCCAGCAGTATGTCACCTTTTTAAACACCTTATTTGACTCTAGAACAATGTAAATGTTCAAAAACCAAAACTTCCATGTCGATCTTTATTTCTGAAAATCTCTGTACCCAAAAGCCATGGAACCATTGTTCACAGGAAATGATTATTCACCTAGCAATATTTGCCTTTATACAAAAGACTCTAGCCCTCAAAACGTGAACCATTCATATAAGACTTTCAAGCTGACTATGCTGTCAATCCAGAGTCAGATTTGGATGAATGTCCCTTAGAGATTAACATAAAATTCTCTCCAGTGTACAATTTTAGGGTCCCAGAATATGTGTTCTCCAAAGTATCAAATATGTGCATAATACCTTTAATGAGGTCAACTGAAGTTTTTGAAATGATCACAAAATAGCACAATACGTAACCACCAATTTATAAAATAAATGGGCTCTGAAAAAGCAAAAAGTAATGTGGAATAAAGGGAAGCCTTGGATACTGCTGTACTGAATGCACATTGATTGTAAATTAGTACAGCTCTTATGCAAAAATTTTGGAGTTTCCTCAAAAAACTAAAAGTAGAATTAATATGTGATACAGCAATCTCACTTTGGGGTATCCACCCAAAATATTCAAAGTCAGTATGTCAAAGAGATGGCTGTACTCTCATGCTTATTGCAGCACCAATCACAATATCAACATATGGAATCAACCAAAGTGTCCATCAACATATGAATGAATAAAGAAAATGTGGTATATATACACAATGGAACACTGTTCAGCGTAAAAAGAAATAAATTTTGTCATTTGCAAAAACATGCATGAAATTGGAGACTATATTGCTAGGTGAAATAAGCCAGGTACCAAAAGTCAAACACTACTGGTTATCACTTATTTGTGGAATCAAAAGCAGTCCAAGTCAAAGAAGCAAGAGCAGAATGGTGGCTACCAGAGGCTGGAGGTGGAGATTGGGGAACAGGGAGATGATGGTTGAAGGATACAAAGCCTCAATTAGATGGGAGGAATAAAATATTTTTCTTTGAGACATATTGCAGTGTGGTGAACATAATAATATATTGTACACTTTAAAATTGCCGAGTGTATTTCAAATGTTGTCACCACAACAAAATGATAACTATTTGAGGTGATGAATGTTAATTAGGTTGATTTAATTATCACACATATTAATAAATTATGGCATCATTTTGTCACCCATAAATATACACAGTTTTATCAATTAACAATTAAAAATTGAAATTAAAAACAAAAATACAAAATTCCAAATATGCTGAGGAACGATTTCATAAAATTATTATGAAAGTTCTATAACTTCATTTGTAGCTGATACTTATACTTGCACATTAAGTTAGTGTGAAAGTATAAGTATCTACTCAAAATTTGAGTTTCATCACCTGAGATGCCCACTACTACTTTCTCATACTTTGCACGAGTTTTCTCATTTTATTCTCAGTACATACAAGAGCTGAGATAGTTATTATCTTTCTGCAGTAAATATTCTGGCTTTGGGTTATTTTAGACATTGGCCTCTAATGTCCTGTTTATTGTAGACCCTTTCTAATTTTCTAAACCAAAAAACACATGTACATTACCAATGATCTAAACTCTAAGAACAAAACTTAAGATAATTCCTAAAATATGCATTTCATAACAGGAAAGTGTGAATTAGCTGGAATTCCCTGCCAGGCTGTGCTACAATGACTCAGTCATGCTACTACCTCCATTTTTTTTTTTTTTTTTTTTTTTTTTGCAGTAAATACAGCTTCTATCCCTTGTATTTCCTACCATCCACAGTTGTAATCCAAGTACTTAAGTCAGCATTAAACATGGTAAGATGATTTCCTGGCCATTTTCTGGTAGATTCATGTCGGTACTGTAAATGAAGGTGTCCCTGTGACTCAGTGAGGCAGAGCCCCAGGCAGAGATTTATATGTTACCAATTTATCACCGAGTGAAATCCTGGGCCACAAGAGTGAAGAAAAAGGGAAATGAAGCAGAGAATGGAGAAGGTTCAGTAACAAGGTGTGCTATCAAGCTGGCCACCACTTGGTATCAAATCAAACATAGTAGATCTCTTGGGACTATCTTCTGGGAAGTTATACTAATAAGTGTTTGTAAAATGCTATACTTTATAAAAAAGAAGACACGAACCACCTTCTAATCCCCTACAGTGTTCTGTTACAATAATCCAGTTCATTTTTTATACAGTTTTTGTCCCCCATACTCATACCCCCCATAGTTGTCCTCCATGTACTTGAGTCATTGAACAGTCCATTAAAGAACAATGGGAGAAAAAATTATGGATCCTGTTTCCCATTGGTTTGTCCCATGGGATAGTAATTCCTCCATGCCTCCTGATTGCACTTGCATGGGTGCCTAGCAGTCTTGTGCATGTCATGCTTCAGCACCAACAGGGAGGCTCCTGAGCTGGAGGTGAGAAGCACCTGACAGGTATGCAGCAAGGTGCTTTTGATATGTATCTGCATGATATTGTTTGGAGATTTAATATGAAGTATAAGTATCTACTACAAAATGTGAGTTTCATCACATGAGATGCCCACTACTACTGTGGTTCACTTACAATGACTTCTGGAGAATGAGACCAACCTAGACGTTTGTTAATCTTATCGGTGTTCCAATTGCTCGAGCCATTCTGCACCCATGTAACTCCTCTACTGGGTGGCTTTTAATGTGTTTCTTCCTTATCTCAGGGAGGGAAGGGAAAGCCTATGCAAAGAAGAATTGTGTCATGGAAGGTCACAGTTATTTAAAGCACTCCCAGGTGAGAGACAAACTCAAGCTGTGGATCTAATAAAAATGCAAAAGCAATAATACCACCACTATTCAGCAAATTTTAATCTGGATGAAATCACAGCAAACTGTTGCCAATGCCTAGCTCCCCTCCATGTCTCTCAATTTTCCTTGCTCTCTGCCTTCAGCTTTGTGGGTTCCCTCTCTAAGGCTCTCTCTGCTGCTTATCTTGCTAACACTCATACCCTCCTATTCCACCAAGATCCTGGACTGTTCTTCTATATTAACATAAAAATCCTGTGCCTGCGTTTGTAATGTTTGCTCCCCAGCTCTCCTCTCCCAGTGTGCACCATGTTGTCAATATTCATGGGCCAAAGGTAGAGTGTGGAAAGTCATGCTAAACGTGAACCAGCATAGTATTTTCCCGACTGGATGCATTTGTTGTTTCATCTGCTACTACAAATAAAGGCACAAATGCTAGAGCAGTCATATGTGACCATATGTGCTCCAATGAGAGTGGTATAATGGCTCACGTGTGCTCTGTGGTGTCTTTCCAAGATCTGTCTCTCAGGACCCTGGATAGTCAGTGTCCTTTCGGCATATTTTCTTTGAATGGAATATTTAAATAGGGTAAATATGGCCATTCTTTTCTTCCACTTACTGCTGGCAGAACAAATAAGACCCTCCAAATTTATATGCCCAATTACTTTTAGTTTAACAAGTTCTGAAGTGCTGTGGAAATGCTCCCCTGGAGTTTCATTGTGGGTTAATGGAGAATCATCCAGCCTTTCTTCAGGACTATTAGAATAATAAACACCAGGCAGTGCCATCAATTAGTCATTTTGCCAAGACCATCACTCAAGTGGGTAAGTAATTCAGACCATTCCCCAGGGAAAATTGGCCGCAGTGATCTCTGCTTTTTGCCAAGACCTGGGTGAGAGACAGGGAAGCATTATTCTTCCAGGGATACAAGGTGGAGCCTGTGGGAGCCTCTCATAAGGCCTAGAGCTGGAGACGTGGCATAAGAAGGATAAAGAGGAGGTGCTGATGCCGGCAAAGGGGATCCTGCGCTTACTCTTTAGGACAAGTAAAGTCAACCGACACAGTTCTCTTCTCTGAATGACAAAATAAAATACAGGAAAACCTCACTATTGCAGAGCAAATGCATATGAACATGTTTGTGTGTCTTTGGGGAGTCGTGGGGGAAGAGATTCTAGTTTGAGTATGTAGAAAATAAAGAAAAAAACTGGATTTTAATATACTTTTAAGGCAGTTTAATATCTTTCAAATACATACAGTGGATGGAAATAGAATGGCAAATCGTTTTCTAATAGAGGTCTTTAGGCACCCGTTTTTTGGTTTGTTTGTTTTTTTTCCACACACATAAGGATGACTTATAAGTAGTATGTCAAATAATTGCTTATAAATAGTACTTCTCAGGTGCCAGAGGGACCTTGAAAACAATTATTTCTTTGAAGTGTTTTAAATATGTTTCCAGCATACTTATGTATACCATGAATTATTTGGGAAACCCTTTCTCTATTGTAAGCATAAATATAAAATTCAGTTTAGTTCTAATAATAATTGTCAAAAAATTTTATGTGATACTGTCTGATACATTTTGTTGCTGGATAACTAGTGCTCCACAAACTTAGTTGCCATTATAAAGAAACAGCTACTTCGTAGCAATGAATTTTTATTTCTGAGAGACAGTAAGAAATAGAAAAACCATCCAAAGGCTGATAGAGTGCTTTGACATTTCCAGTCCTAAAACTGAATTGTTTTTCTAGTCATTACTGTAAGGTCACATTTTAAACCAAAGACCAGAACTGGTTGTGTGTGTGTGTGTGTGTGTGTGTGTGTGTGTGTGTGTGTTTCTGTGCCAACACTTTACCCGTTTAACAAATAATGAGGCCATTGGCAATTGCCCATTTTGTTAGTGAGCTAAACTTCATAGACAATGTAGTATTGATACAAAAGATCGAAATTTCGAATTTTTATTCAAATTTTATTGACCTTGATGTGTATATGAATACATACATGTGCACTTTTTCTTTTCAACATTTAATTATTGGAAGAGAGATCAAATAAGACAATGTATTTTTCCCTCCCTTGGTGATGAAAGGTAAGATAACATTCCCATTTTACTGAGAAAACAGGAGCTTTGAATGGTTTTGTATTCTTAGCATAGGCACGGTGTTTCAGAAACGAATTCCAAAAGCAAACGAAGAATGTTTCTAAGTCTTTCAAAAAGAAACAAGACAGTAATTTATTTTTTTCATTCAACAGTAATTTATTGAGCGCTTCCCAATTTGCCTGACTGCATTGTAGGCCCTGCGGATATATCAGTGAATAAAATAATGCACTTGCCATCACGAAGCTAGCATTTCAAGTACCTCTTTATTCTTTTCTAGCTTTTAACTACCTAATTATGATAGCATACTACACTTGCATTCTTTACAATTTGCAATACATTTTCACATGCATTATTTCATTTCAATTTTGATTATCACAAGAATCATATGAATTAGACAATATGTTACTAGCTCCAATATACAGGTAAGCAAACTGAGGCTCAGTGAGGATAATTAATTTGTGCAAGTTTTCACAGCTTGTTAAGAGAGCCAGCACTCCCAGAACTTCTAATTCCACATTTGCTTTCTTCCAAATACAGCAAATATTCTGCTATTTCTTCACAGTAGCAAAGAGGAGCATGTTCAGGGTTATTTATCCAGCTTATAGTGGATTTTGCACTTGGAAACGGCAGGTTTTGATTCTATATTTACAACGCACTTATCTTCCTCTTACTACCCTACCCCCCTGCCAGTCTACTATCCCACAATTTCCAAAATGGCACAGCTATTCAAGTCATCTTTCTATCTGGGCCCACATTTTTCACCATCATTCTGTCTTCTTGGAATGAGAGCTTGTCCATATGGAAATGCCTTCAGTTCCAAATAATTCAAGAGAAGCATCTCAAGCACTAGGATGTCAGCAAGAATTCATCACATCAAAACTCAAGAGTCCCCAATTGGTGACATTCTGCTTCTCTGTTCAAAGGGACTTAAAATAATGTCTGAAGAGAGTCTTTTGCGAAGACAACCTTGGGTGCTTATATTTTAAAGCTAGCATTTCCACAGTAACACTGACATTATGAATACAGGATGGAAGTTTCACTTTATTGCTTAAGGCTGTTATTTGAAACTATCCCAGATTTAATATATCTAGAATCCATTTCATCTCCCTGGCTTTGTTATTTCCACACACTAAACCTTAGCACTTATTTAGGTGGCAAGTAACATTATTCCTGCTAAGAACTAGATCTCCTTCCCAAGGGTTATACCAACCTAGATGTCTTAGATATTGCATTTTGGGAGCTTCTGATTTTCCTTAGATTCTAATCCATGAATTTAAAGAAAGTAAGAATCTGAAAGTACCAGATTTGAAGCCATCAGTATGACTTTCTCAAAATAGGGGCATGTTAAAAAAAAGAAACTAAAAATATTATTTTAGAAAAAAACATTAATAGAGAAAAATTACCTTTGCCCCCTTTGAGGCATTTTCTGTTTTTTTTTTCTCCCCTTAAAACTCAGTGGCAGGTTTCCTAGGTTTTGTGAAATGGGCCCCAAGAGTGACACAGTGGAAAAGTCCCCACTTGATTACACCATGTTCTTTTTATGTTAAATGGCTGACAATGCCATTAAGCATTGTGCCTTGTGTTATGAGCACAGCTAGATCTGAAGCTAAAATGCTGGACCCCTGGGCAGCTGGTAATTTCATCTTAAACCCAGGCAGCTGAACAATAACGAATAATATGTCCATCGTTTGATCTGCTTTCAATGAAAGACCTGGTTGTGTACTCTACAGTGGAACACGCAGCAAGATTCTAACACTCTTTTCTTAACCAAATCCTCCCTCTAGCTTTCTCTACTGTGGAAGAAAAACAACCAACAGGGTGGTTTTTCTTTTTTTTTTTTTCCCCCTAGAAGAGGGGTCTGGAAGTAATTTTGAAATTTATTTTTAAACGTTTGGTGTGATTAAGCAAGAGAGAAACTGGACAAATAGCAACACAACTTACCTATTTATTTATCTGTTTATATGTGCCTTAATTTTTTGTGGCATATATGAATAGATTTAACAGAAATTTCTATAACCCCATGGCATTTTCTGTAAGGATAATGAGTGGATGAGACCACCTGGTGCTGATAGTATTCTCAAGGGTTCACACTGGAGGAGATAAAAGGCATAGCTTAGAAGACTTGATGGCAATATTTCATAATTGTAAATCTAGCTTTAAAAATTACAAGATGAGAAACTAGGACATAAGAGTAGATACCATTGTCACACTTGATCATGTTATTTTTTTCTTTCAATATCTAATTAGAAAAAAAAAATTTTTTTGAGACAGGATCTTCTCACTCTTTCGCCCAGGCTGGTGTGCAGTGGCACAATCAGGGCTCACTGCAGCCATAAACTCCCAGGCTCAGGTGATCTTCCCACCCCTCAGCCTTTCTAGTAGCTGGCGCCATAGGCACACAACACCATGCCAGACTAATTTTTGTATTTTTTGTAGGGACAGGGTCTCAGTATGTTGCCCAGGCTGGTCTTGACCTCCTGGGCTCAAGCAATACACCCACCTCAGCCTCCAAAAGTGCTGGGATTACAGGCATGGACCATCATGCCCGGCCTAGAAAGCTCCTCTTAACATGACCCTTTTTCATATTTAGTCCTAGTTTTTGGCAGACACCTAAAGTTTAGACTTGTGTCCCTATCCAAAAGTATGTTTAATCTGAAAGTCACAGAATTTTATATGCAAATACAATTACACCTACTTTATATATAAGTCAGGTACATAGTGGTTAGGAGCATAAACTAAGAGTTAGACTTCATATTCTGCCATGTACGTCACACTTAGCAAGTTATACTTACCCCACTGTGTCTCAGTTTCACTGTTTATAAAGTGAGGATGGGAAGAGTAACTAAATCATAATGGTGTTGTGGATATTAAATGTATTAATTTATATGAAGAACTGGGAGCAGTGTCTGGCATATACCAAATATCATATCTGTGTTTGCTCCTGTAGTGATGGCTGTGATTATGGTTATTTTTGTTATTTTATGGTAATTCACATTTTTTCTGACTTCCAGGTGTGTGTTTTATATTTTAAAACCTTAGTGCCTCCCTTCAGGTTTATTTTCTTTGTCCCTTTTCTTTTTGATGGTTTTATGACTGGCGGGTAGAAGGGGGAGTAGTAAGGCTTGAGAAACTGCTGGAGTAGTATTGCTGGAAAAGTAGCCAAAAACTGTATTAAAAAAATTAAAAAGCCATTGCTGCTTATTTCTGAGATTTCCATTCCAGATGGACGTTGTTGTATCTGATCATTGGTCCAATAATGTAAAGGTGCCCTTGAATGGGAACTGAGCAGCTCCCTGACAATGGTGATCCTCTGAGGGAACCAGGGAGTCAGCATTCCCACAACCTTTAGGGAGGAGTCTGCATGCCTCATCATCTCAAAGCATATCTCCATATCCTCATGATAAAACTCCCATTTCCTTTTTCTTCCTCCTTATTTTTCCTCCCTCTCTTCCTGCTTTCTCCCAGCAATCTTTTGCACTCGCTTCTGAGCTTGTAGATTTTGAATGCTACCCTATGACACTTGGGGGCTGTAAGAAACTCAGGGCTGCGAATGGGTATGCTTTGCTTCTAACATCTCTCGTAGCTGCTTATTCCATTTCTAGAAATGATCAGCACAGCCTGGTTTTTCTCTATTCTCATATCCCTCAATTTCAAAGGAGGCATTTTATCAACACTCCAGTCTCTTCTCGCAGCTTAGTCTTGGAGAAGTTTAAGGGAAGACCACAAAAACAAATCTTTTGCTAAACTTCTCAAATCCTTCCAGTTTAACTGTATTGCTTTCTCTCACTTGCAGGGCTCTTCCAGAGTCTCAGAGTTTGGTGGAAGGGATAGAGAAAGAAATAAATTGCTGTATCATCCAAGTCTCTTCTTTTTCTCACATACCTTAATCTTTAGCTTTTAAACTTAGTGTTTAGCATCTTTATTTTTCCATCATTGCTCTAACAACTTTTTTCATTGGTGTATGTCAGCCCATGTTGTGCACCTGGAATGCAGGTAGTTGGATGGAGAAAATAATGTGCTGATAGCGAACCAAATTTTATTCTGCCAACAAAAGCTTGATGTAATCAACACAAAGTAGGAAAAAGGGATTTTTATATTTTCCTACTTGTCACATTCACATTTATAACAAATTTCCTAAGTCTCCAGAAATAGCTGTCTTAAACATAATTCCAAGATTTAAATAAGTTCTGCCAAACTTTAACATTTTGGCATAGATATTCATTTGGGATAGAACACCATTTAAAACTAACAGTCCCAACAAAATCGATTATTTGTGGCAAAATTTTGAGCATCTATTATAGACTAGCATCTATGTTGAGTACTTTTACTTTGCCTCTGTTTTTTATTCATTTCAAACTATTTATATGAAGCTATACTAGGTGTCAGCCACAGTTCCAAAAGCTGGAGACAGCATAGGCTGGAGATAGAATATTCTACTGGGGGAAATACGTAATAAGTACATTTGCAACCTAAACAATTTCTGCAAATAGATCACTAAAGCAAATAAGCTAGAGTTATAGGACTGGTGTGGCAGCAACTTTGGGTGATGATATGGCTTGGATGTGTGTCCTTTCCAAATCTATGTTAAAATGTGATCTCCAATGTTAGAGATGGGGCTTAGTGGGAAGTATTTAGTTCATGTGAACAGATCTCTCATGAATAACTTGGTGCTGTCCTCACAGTAATGAGTGGGTTCTCACTCCATGAGTTCACACAAGATCTGGTTTTTTAAAAGAGCTTGGAGCTTCCTCCCCCTCTCTCTTGCTCCTTCTCTTACCATGTGACATGACTTCTCCCCCTTTGCCTTCTGCTATGACTGCAGGCTTCCTGAGTCCCTCACCAGGAGCAGATACCGGCACTACATTTCTTATGGAGTTTTCAGAATCTTGAGCCAAAATAAACCTTTCCATTTTCTTTATAAATTACCCAGCCTCAGGTATTTCTTTATGCAATGCAAAATTGACTAACACAGAAAATTGGTAATGTGGAGTGGGTTGTTACTAGAGTAACACCTGAAATGTGTTACTCTGATACCTGAAATGTGGAAGTGGCTTTGGAACTGGGTAACAGGCAGAAGTTGGAAGAATGTGGAGGGCTCAGAAGAATACAGGAAGACAAGGGAAATTTAGAACTTTACTTAGAGACTTTGTAAGTGGTTGTGAACAAAGTGCTAATAGGAATATGGACAGTGAAGGACTGGCTGATGAAGTCTCAGTTGGAAATGAGGAATGTATTGGGAACTGGAGCAAAGGTCACCCTTGTTACACCCAAGCAAAGAAGTTGGCTGTACTGTGTCCATGCACGAGGACTTTGTGGAAGGTTGAACTTAAGAGTAGTGATGTAGGGTATCTGGAGGAAGAAATTTCTAAGCATCAAAGCATTCAATAAGTGGTATGGCTGCTTCTTACAGCCTATGATCAGATATGAGAGCTAAGGAATAATTTAAAGTTGGAATTTATAAGGAAAAAAGAAGAAAAATGTAAAAAATTGAAAAATTTACCACCTGGTAAGGTGATAAGGAAGGATAGAGCTTTTTCAGGAGAGGAATTGAAGCAGCTGTGAAGCAACCACATCCTAGAGAAATTGTCATGACTAAAGGAGAGCCAAGTGCTAGTAGCCAGGACAATAGGACAAAGGCCTTCAAGGCAATTCAGAAAGATTTCTACCAGGCTACTCCTACCATCACAGGCTCAGAGTCCTGGGAGGAAAGAATGGCTTCAGGGGCCAGGTCCATGGCAGGACTGCCATGCTCATCCTCAGGACACTGTTCCCCAAATCCCAGCCACTCTGGCTCCAGCCTTGGCTCAAAGAGTCCCAGGTATAGCTTGGGCCACAGCTCTGGAGGACTCAAGCCAGAAGCCTCAGTAGCTTCCATGCGGTGTTAAGTCTGCAGTTGCACAGAGTGCAAGAGTGAAGGAAGCTTGGCAGCTTCCAACTAGATATCAGAGGTTGTATGGAAAAGCCTAGGTGCCCAGACAGAAGCCTCCCACGGGGCACAGCCCCCACAGAAAAACTCTATTAGGACAGTGCTGAAGATAAATGTGGGGTTGGAGCCTCCAAACAGAATTCCTATCAGGGCACTGCCTAGTGGAGCTGTGGGAAGGTGGCCCCTGCCCTCCAAACCCAAGAATGGTAGAGCCACCAATAATTTGCACCCTGAGACTGAGAAACCTGCAGGCACTCAACTCCAACCCATTACAGCAGCCATAGGGCTTCACCCAGGAAAGTGACAGGTACAGAGCTGCCTATGGCCTTAGGAGCCCACCCCTTGCACCAGTGTGCCCAGGATGCAGGACATGGAGTCAATGAATATTATTTTAGACCTTTCAGATTTAAATGACTTCCCTTCTGGGTTTCAGACTTGCATGGCATCTGTTGTCCCTTTCTTTGGCTGATTTCTCCCCTTTGGAATGGGAATATTTACCCAGTGCCTATACCATCATTCTATCTTGGAAGTAAATAACTTGTTTTTTGATTTTATAGGCTCATAGGTGGAACTAACATGCCTTGAGTCTCAGATGAGATTTTGGACTTTTGAGTTAATGCTGAAATGAATTGAGACTTTGGGGACTATTGGGAAGGGATGATTAGATTTTGCAATGGGAGAAGGACATGAGATTTAGGGGACCAAGGTCACAATGATATGGTTTGGATGTTTGTCCTGTCCAAATCTCATGTGGGAATGTGACTTCCAATGTTGGAGGTGGGCCTATGGAAGGTGTTTGGGTTATCAGGACAGATCCCTCATGAATGGCTTGGAGATGTCTTCACAGTAATGAGTGAGTTTCCACTCTGTGAATTCATGCAAGATCTCATTGTTTAAAAGAGCTTGGCACCTCCCTCTCTCCCTTGCTCCACTCTGGCCATGTGATACACTCACTTCTGCTTCACCTTCTAGTATGACTGTAAGATTCCAGAGACCCTCACCAGAAGCAGATGCTGGCACCACACTTCTTCTACAGCCTACAGAACAATTAGCTCAAATAAATGTCTTTTCTTTATAAATTACCCAGCCTTTACTCCTTTATAGTAATGCAAAACAGACTAATATAGGTAATGAGGGGAAAACTGTCTGAAGAGGTGGCTTTGGGATTTCCCTGAATGGTGAGAAGGATATGGCTTTATAGCAATCTGAAGGAAGAACATTCCTAGCAGAAGAGATGCTACCCACTCATTCTCTCTGCAGCCCTAAATGTGGCCACTAATATTTCAATTTTATTGATATAGACAACTCAGTGGTTTTAGGAAATTTGCCCATGTTTATGCAGTTAATGAGTAGAAGACCTAAAATTTGAACACAGTTCTGTTTGACTACAAAGCTATTTTAAATAAGATATACTGCCTTTTGTTAGAAAAGCCAGACTATTCATCCTTAGATGATGGAAGAGATATTTACTCTGTCTTCTTCATTAAGTCAGAACCATTTCCTGTAGATTATTCCACATTAGGGATACTTTATTTACTTCCTTCCTTCATTTAGAAGTCCTGTTGATAAAGAGCTGTCAGAAGATGCAAGTTATTAAAAGAACAGAAACCAGGAATGCCTCTTGGGAGTCAACAATTATTTTGACTCTCTTTCTGTAAACCTTTCTCAGATTTTGAGTATCTTTAGCAGGCCTGCAAGGGAAGTGAGTTTTAAATTAATTTTCTTCTGGCAGGTTGTATCTGTGATAAATTGAAGAACTCCACAAAACCATCCACATAGCCAGGTGTTTAATAGCTCAGTCACTTCAATGTCCCATTGGGGTCACTTTAGGTTCTTCTTTCCTTTCCTCCCATCAAGAGTAACATGGGGTCTTAATAAGACTTGGAAACAATTTTGATATCAAAAACTAAGAGACAGCTCTACTTATAATAAGCTTTAATGTTAGGATATCAGCAGCACCTGCAGTGCTATGGCTGGAAATGACAGTTTTATTATCTTTTCCTTTGAAACTGATAAATTTGTCCTGGCTAAGGGCAGCCTTTTTGGCTGGCACCTTAAAAAAACTCAAGGAAAAAGTAACTTGACTATCACTGGAGTTATTTAAAGCTCTATAGAAAATTCTAATAGACAAAATTTCACATGGTTCTTGTCACTAAGTGCTAAGTCCCAGACCAATTGAGAAGGGACATTGTGTGTGTGTGTGTGTGTGTGTGTGTGTGTGTGTGTGTGTGTGTCAGAGAGACAGAGAGAGGAGAGATACTGAGACCAATAGTGTATATTTAGGTTTGGGTTCACTTTTGATTTTGTCAATTGAACAGTCTCACTAACTTTAACAAATCAAACATTATCTACAAATAGCAGGCTGCAATTATTGTTTATCATAGTCATATCCATAATGAAGATCACTAGCAAAACAAAACCCTATAAGAGCATTTTAACAATGTCACATTATTTTTGAATACTATTAGATACTTTTAAAAAGTACTAGTAGATTTTATTTATTTGTTTTATTTAATTTTTTCCAGCTTTATTGAGGTATAATTGAAAAATAACAAATTACATATTAAAGGTGTATAATGTGAGGTTTTGATATACATATACATTGTGCAATGATTATCACAAGCAACTACCTAACATATACATCACTTCACATAATTACCTTTTTTTGGTGTGGTGAGAACATTTGTCTACTCTCTTAACAATTTTCAAGTATACAATAAGCATTATTAACTACAGTTACCATACTGTACATTAGATTTTCTGAACTATTCAATCATGCACAACTGAGACTTTGTACCCTTTAACCAACATCTCTCCATTGCCACTCCCCCACCCCGGCCCCTGGCAACCATCATGTTATTCTCTGCTTCTATAAGTTTGACTTCTATAGGTTCCACATAAGTGAAATCATACAGTATTATATAGCTTGTCCAAGAGTGATTTATCCCTGTGGTGCAAAGATGGTTTGACATATGCAATTCAGTAAGTGTGACATACCACATTTATAGAATGAAGGATAAAAACTATATGTCCATCTCAATATGTGCACACAAAGCACTTAACAATTTTTAATATGCATTCATGATAAAAACTCAACCAATTAGGTGTAGAAAGACTTCTTCAACATAATAAAATCCATATGTAACAGGTTCACAGTTAACATAATGAAGTGAATAGCTGAAAATGTTTCTTCTAATATCAGGAACAAGACAATGATACCCATCTTGTCACTTCTATTCAACATAGTACTGGAAGTCCTAGCCAGAACAATTAGGCAAGACAAAGAAATAAAAGCCATCCAGTCAGAAAGGGAGAAGTAAAATTGTCTCTGTTTGCAGATGACATAGTCTTATAAATAGAAAACTGTAAAGAATCTACCAGAAGCCTCTTAGAACTAATAAATAAGTTCAGTAAATTTGCAAGATACCAAATTAAATAGAAAAATCAGTTGCCTTGCTATACACTAGCAACAAACTCTCCAAAAAAGAAATTAACAACCCCATTTATAATAGCACTAAAAAGAATACAATACTTAGGAAAACATTAACCGAGGAGGTGACAGATTTATAAATTAAAAACCATATAACAATGATGAAAGAAATTGAAGAAGAGACAGTGGAAAAATATCATTTTGTTCATAGATTAGAAGAATTAAAAATGCTCATACTATTCAAAGTGATCTACAGTTTCAATGTAATCCCTGACAAAATTCCGATGGCATTTTTCACAGAAGTAGGTGAAACAATCCTAAAATTAATATAGAACCACACAAGAAACAATAGTCAAGGTAATCTCAAGCAAGAAGAGCAAATCTGAAGCCATTGTACTACCTGATTTCAAAATACATTACAAAGCTATCATAATCAAACAGTATGGTACTGGCATAAAAACAGACACATAGCTGGGCACAGCTGGCTCAGGCCTGTAATCCCAGCACTTTGGGAGACTGAGGTGGGCGGATCACAGGGTCAGGGATCGAGACCATCCTGGTGAACACGGTGAAACCCCATCTCTACTAAAAATACAAAAAAATTTGTCAGGCATGGTGGCAGGCACCTGTAGTCCCAGCTATTCGGGAGGCTGAGGCAGGAGAATGGCGTGAACCCAGGAGGCGGAGCTTGCAGTGAGGCGAGATCACTCCACTGCACTCCAGTCTGGGCGACAAAGCAAGATTCCATCTCAAAAAAAAAAAAAAAAAAAAAAGAAAAGAAAAGAAACAGACATATAGGCCAGGCACGGTGGCTCACACCTGTAATCCTAGCACTTTGGAAGGCTGAGATGAGCAGATTGCCTGAGCTCAGGAGTTTGAGAACAGCCTGGGCAACACAGTGAAACCCCATCTCTACTAAAATACAAAAAATTAGTCAGGTGTGGCTGCATGCACCTGTAATCCCAGCTACTCAGGAGGCTGAGGTAGGAGAATTGCTTGAACCTGGGATGTGGAGATTGCATTGAGCCGAGATCATGCCACTGTACTCCAGTCAGGGCAATGGAGCAAGACTCTGTCTAAAAAAAAAAGAAAGAAAGAAAAACCAACCAACAAACAGAAAACAGACATATAGAGCAGTAGAGCACAATAGAAAGTCAAGAAATAAATCCACATATTTGTGGTCAACTGACCTTTGACAAAGTTGCCAAGAACATACAATGAGGAAAGCATAGTGTCTTCAATAATTGGTGTTGGAAAAACAGGATATCCAAATTGGACCTTTATTTTATACCATATAAAAATCAACTCAAAATAGATTAAGTAATTAAATGTAAGGCTGAAAACTATTGAACAATTAGAAGAAAACACAGGGAAATGCTTCTTGACATTAGATTGGACAATTAATTTTTGTATATCTCCTCAAAACCACAAGCAACAAAAGCAAAAATACATAAATAAGATTTCTTCAAACTAAAAAGCTTCAGTACAGCTTAATTGTTGTTAATTCAACAATTAGCAAAGTGAAGAGACAATCTATGGAATGGGAAGATATATTTGCAAACTCTACATCCAATAAGGAGATAATACAAAATACATAGGAAACTCTCATAACTTAAAAACAAGAAAACAACCCAACAAAAATATGAGCAAAGGACTTGAATAGACATTTATCAAAAGGAAAAATACAAATGTCTAACCGGTATATTAAAAAATATGCTCAACTTTACTGACTATCAGGGAAATATAAATCAAAACCTCAATGAGATATCACATCAGACCTGTTAAAATGAACATTATCAAAAATAAAAAAGATAACAAATACTGGGGAGGGTGTTGAGGAAAGGGAACCCTTTACACTATCGATGGGAGTGTAAATTGGTGTAGCCATTATGGAAAACAATTTGGAATTCCCTCAAAAACTAAAAATAACACTGTCCTGTGATCCAACAGTCTCACTCTAGGTATATAACCAAATAAATTAAATTAGTATTCGTATCTCAAAGAGATATCTACACTTCCACATTTGTTGTAGCATTACTAACAATAGCCAAGATATGGAAACAAACCAAGTGGCCATCAATGGACAAATAGATAAAGAAAATGTGGGGTGTGTGTGTATGAGTGTGTGTGTGTGTGGGTGTGTAACAGGATACTATTCAGCCTTAAAATGGAAGGAAATCCTGTCATTGTCGTGGATGAACCTGGAGAATATTATGCTAAGTGAAATAACCATTGCATCCCAGGGATGAAGCCCACTTGATCGTGGTGGATAAGCTTTTTGATGTGCTGCTGGATTCCGCTTGCCAGTATTTTATTGAGGATTTTTGCATCGATGTTCATCAAGGATTGGTCTAAAATTCTCTTTTTTGTGTGTGTGTCTCTGCCAGGCTTTGGTATCAGGATGATGCTGGCTTCATAAAATGAGTTAGGGAGGATTCCCTCTTTTTCTATTGATTAGAATAGTTTCAGAAGGAATGGTACCAGCTCCTCCTTGTACCTCTGGTAGAATTTGGCTGTGAATCCATCTGGTCCTAGACTTTTTTTGGTTGTTAAGCTATTAATTATTGCCTCAATTTCAGAGCCTGTTATTGGTCTATTCTCTTCCTGGTTTAGTCTTTGGAGGGTGTATGTGTATTTATCCATTTCTTCTAGGTTTTCTAGTTTATTTGCATAGAGGTGTTTATAGTATTCTCTGATGGTAGTTTGTATTTCTGTGGGATCGGTGGCGATACCCCTTTATCATTTTTTATTGCATCTATCTGATTCTTCTCTCTTTTCTTCTTTATTAGTCTTGCTAGTGGTCTATCAATTTTGTTGATCTTTTCAAAAAACCAGCTCCTGGATTGATTGATTTTTTGAAGGGTTTTTTGTGTCTCTATTTCCTTCAGTTCTGCTCTGATCTTAGTTATTTCTTGCCTTCTGCTAGCTTTTGAATGTGTTTTCTCTTGCTTCTCTAGTTCTTTTAATTGCAAGGCTGGTTCAACATACGCAAATCAATAAATGTAATCCAGCCTATAAACAGAACCAATGACAAAAACCACATGATTATCTCAATAGATGCAGAAAAGGCCTTTGACAAAATTCAACAACCCTTCATGCTAAAACCTCTCAATAAATTAGGTATTGATGGGACATATCTCAAAATAATAAGAGCTATCTATGACAAACCCACAGCCAATATCATACTGAATGGGCAAAAACTGGAAGCATTCCCTTTGAAAACTGGCATAAGACAGGGATGCCCTCTCTCACCACTCCTATTCAACATAGTGTTGGAAGTTCTGGCCAGGGCAATCAGGCAGGAGAAGGAAATAAAGGGTATAAAATTAGGAAAAGAGGAAGTCAAATTGTCCCTGTTTGCAGATGACATGATTGTATTTGTAGAAAACCCCATTGTCTCAGCCCAAAATCTCCTCAAGCTGATAAGCAACTTCAGCAAAGTCTCAGGATACAAAATCAATGTGCAAAAATCACAAGCATTCTAACACACCAATAACAGACAAACAGAGAGCCAAATCATGAGTGAACTCCCATTCACAATTCCTTCAAAGAGAATAAAATACCTAGGAATCCAACTTACAAGGGATGTGAAGGACCTCTTCAAGGGGAACTACAAACTACTGCTCAATGAAATAAAAGAGGATACAAACAAATGGAAGAACATTCCATGCTCATGGGCAGGAAGAATCAATATCTTGAAAATGGCCATACTGCCCAAGGTAATTTACAGATTCAGTGCCATCTCCATCAAGCTACCAATGACTTTCTTCACAGAATTGGAAAAAACTACTTTAAAGTTCATATGGAACCAAAAAAGAGCCCGCATTGCCAAGTCAATCCTAAGCCAAAAGAACAAAGCTGGAGGCATCATGCTACCTGACTTCAAACTATTCTACAAGGCTGCAGTAAGCAAAACAACATGGTACTGGTACCAAAACAGAGATATACACCAATGGAACAGAACAGAGCCCTCAGAAATAATGCCGCATATCTACAACTGTCTGATCTTTGACAAACCTGATAAAAACAAGAAATGGGGAAAGGATTCCCTACTTAATAAATGGTGCTGGGAAAACTGGCTAGCCATATGTAGAAAGCTGAAACTCGATCCCTTCCTTACACCTTATACAAAAATTAATTCAAGATGGATTAAAGACTTAAATGTTAGACCTAAAACCATAAAAACCCTAGAAGAAAACCTAGGCAATACCATTCAGGACATAGGCATGGGCAACGACTTCATGTCTAAAACACCAAGAGCAATGGCAACAAAAGCCAAAATTGACAAATGGGATCTAGTTAAACTAAAGAGCTTCTGCACAGCAAAAGAAACTACCATCAGAGTGAACAGGCAACCTACAGAATGGGAGAAAATTTTTGCAATCTACTCATCTGACAAAGGGCTAATATCTAGAATCTACAATGAACTCAAACAAATTTACAAGAAAAAAACAAACAACCCCATCAACAAGTGGGTGAAGGATATGAACAGACACTCCTCAAAAGAAGACATTTATGCAGCCAAAAGACACATGAAAAAATGTTCATCACTGGCCATCAGAGAAATGCAAATCAAAACCACAATGAGATACCATCTTACACCAGCTAGAATGGCGATCATTAAAAAGTCAGGAAACAACAGGTGCTGGAGAGCATGTGCAGAAATGGGAACACTTTTACACTGTTGGTGGGACTGTAAACTAGTTCAACCATTGTGGAAGTCAGTGTGGTGATTCCTCAGGGGTCTAGAACTAGAAATTACCATTTGACCCAGCCATCCCATTACTGGGTATATACCCAAAGGATTATAAATCATGCTGCTATAAAGACACATGCACACATATATTTATTGTGGCACTATTCACAATAGCAAAGACTTGGAACCAACCGAAATGTCCAACAACGATAGACTGGATTAAGAAAATGTGCATATATGCACCATGGAATACTATGCAGCCATAGAAACTGATGAGTTCATGTCCTTTTTAGGGACATGGATGAAGCTGGAAACCATCATTCTCAGCAAACTATCTCAAGGACAAAAAACCAAACACTGCATGTTCTCACTCATAGGTGGGATTTGAACAATGAGAACACGTGGACCCAGGAAGGGGAACATTACACATCGGGGCCTGTTGTGGGGTGGGGGGAGGGGGGAAGGATAGCTTTAGGAGATATACCTAATGTTAAATGACTAGTTAATGGGTGCAGCACACCAGCATGGCACATGTATACATATGTAACAAACCTGCACGTTGTGCACATGTACCCTAAAGCCTAAAAGTATAATAAAAAAATATAGATTCAAAAAAAAAAAGAAATAAGCCAGGTACAGAAGTAGAAAGACTGAGTGTCAAACTACTAACAAGTTTAGCAACATTTTCTCTAACGATCAATGAACATGTTATTATTAATATTTCCCAAATTATCTAGAAATTCCTAATTGCAAACTTCAGAAATCCATCTCAAATTTGCTACGATGGTGAACATAGATACTGTAATTTCATAAATAACCCATTTTTCCATGAATATTCAGCATGGTATCTTTGAAGATCCAGAGGCATATACCGGCTCTTGTGTGCACTGGCACTTTGCAACTAAAAGAAGCTCCCCTTTACTTCATCTTTCACTTCTTGATTTCAAAATTAGAGTATTATTTGTGAAAATCCTCTGTCTCTTCTCTATATAGTTAAGCATGTAGGCTCAGATTCCTGGGCACAGCCTGTTTTTCAGACTATACTACCAATTCTGTGGACACAGATGAAGTGTGCTGTTTTTTTCTTTCTCTAACATGGTTCCCCTGATTCCAACTTTTGTCATCATCACAAGTTGTTTCTGAAAGTTTTTTAGATACTATAATTTGTAATTTTGGATGAGAGATTGTGGAACTAAAAAGACTAAATATTATCTCGTTTACTCAGTTACAGGTACAGAGCTGAGGCCTAGGGAGATAAAATAACAAAGATGGAGGGAAGTTGATTTAAGACTGAGAATTGGATTTTAATTTTCTTGAACCACTTGGTGCTTTTCTAACTATATCATGGTGCCTGTCCTAGTTGATCAGAAAGCTTACATTTATAAAATAGAAGAGAATGGCAAGAAGGTGATGGAGTATTCCATGGCTGACAAGGAATCCTAGCAATTCTCCCTGGGACCAGTAGCATCTGTACAATTGATCCGTTTTCTACACGTAATATGAGTGTGCTTCTACTTGGAAGTTTTAGTTGACACTTATTACATTTGAGTTGCTTAGTCCTCGGAGTACTGAGGCTAATGAGCTACACCATCAAGAAATCAGGTGGAATTTTAGCTCCCACCTGGAATTTAGGTAACCTCAGCACTCTGTAGTGTCTTCACCCACCTGTGGAAGCCATGTTCTATCTGAATGAAGCACCACCCAAACGACAAATATTCTCTCATAACACCATGAGAATCAGAGGTGGCAGGACTTTGAATCCAGTCTCCACCACTTTTTGTCAAACTCTGAACTTGTTTCTATATCTGTAAAAAAATAGTAATACAACTATATTTTAAGGAGTAAATGAGATAATTTATAAAAACTCAACCCAGAAACAGGCACATAAAGTCCAGTTGAAAATGGCATTTGACATGATCGTTATATTAATATGTCACTCATATCTTAGATCAATAAATAAGTATCACCCATGTTGAACTGGATGCTACATATATATATATATCTTATATATATATTTATATATATATCTTATACATATATATCTATATATCTTATATATATCTGTATATCTTATATATATATCATATATATATCATATATATGTATATATCTTATATATATATCATATATATATCATATATATGTATATATCTTATATATATATCATATATATATCATATATATGTATATATCTTAAATATATATATATAAAAGATATATATATATTTAAGACAGGGTCTTGTTCTGTTCCCCAGGCTGGAATGCAGTGGTGCAATCACAGCTCACTGCAGCCTTGAATTCATGGGCTCAAGCGGTCCTCCTTCCTCAGCCTCTCAAGTAGCTGGGACTACAGGTATGCACCATTAAGCTCTGCTAAGATGCAGGATTTCTTAATGTGGTAAATAAAGACAAGTTCTTCCTCCTCACTGAGCTCACAAGTTCCTTGGTACTGGTCAGCTTCATGAAGCTGGTGAAACTCTGCAAAGGAAAAACAGGTTCTGTATCAATGATATGAAATTCCCAGATGTCCTTTTTAGTAGATTTTTTTAATTAAAATATCACTAGTAGTTATGTGCAGATATGTTTTTGGCATGATTATGGAAAAAATATATACTGATGTCTGATACACCTGGGTTGGATTCTGGGAAGATTAATTTATGTCCTTAAAGATAGTTCTTCACCTAGAATAAGGTTGCTGCAGCCTTCACCTAGGAAAAGGGTGAAACATTGTTCTTCTACCTCACCAAAGTTGTGTCAGTCATCTTATTTCCTGCTACTCAATCTTCATTTCATCTTGTTCTCTAAGGAGTGCCTGCTTTATATTTGAGGCCCCTAGTTAACAGATAAAACTAAATAGCCCCTAGATAGCAGAAAAAAAACATGTAGTGTCTGCATTCCCCACTGGCTGGCTACACCTGAACTGCTTGCTTGTTCTCACAGAAGCACTTGTCTGTCAACGTTTCTCATATCAGTTGGGTTTTGTCTCAGATCTGACCGACTCTACTCTGCCAAGACTTTTCATGGAAACACTGAAGTCCTGTTGTCTTTTTTAAGTCAAAGCAAAAATTGCTAAGCATGTGGACTCATGTGATGTTTCCAAACAAAAACTGTAAAATCAATAATACATTCAAAACAATTTTCCATTTCATATTTTTCATTTGAATGGGGCAAAATCCATTGCACATGAATATTTAGAAGTGAAATAAGGTCCGAAGAAGAGATCTTCAAATCCAGAAGACAAATATTTGTTATTTTCTAAATGAGCCCTTTCATTAAATCACTTCATACTGAGAATATTAGTACTAGTTGGCAATATAAATGAGTTGGAGCTTTAATGTTTTTGTTTGTTTTTCTAGAATCACAAGTCTCAGTAATGTTAATAAGACTTGAGGCTATCAATGAACATAACCCTGTTTAATGTAGTAAATTCAGATTCTGTCTGGCTCAATATATTATGTAAACTGCAACATTTGCAGCAGTGTCACGGGGAAGACCAAGTTGCACCAAACACTATGTGTTCCAGTCTGTAAATATTTGTCACTTTGGTCTTGAAGGTTGACATAGCAATGCAATCAATTAAACAAACAAGCTACAAGGGTACTATTGACTGGAAGCACAGTGTTTTAGCAAATCTGGGCATTGGAGTGCATGTGTAAAAAAATTCCATCTTGCTCTTTCTCAGCCATTTATGTATTCAAAATAAGAGCTCAGTATAGTCTGTATAATATACTACCATTCTCTATAGGCCAAATAAACTCTTACTTTAAAGGACTCCTCCTAACACTGCACTGCCACATACACTTAGTCTTACCTTGTGTATTAGTTCCTTCATATTTTTTCAATGATTAGCCTGTCTCCTCTTGAAGCTTGACCAGACTGTCTCATCTATCACTTTGGTTCTTTTTTTTTTTCATATGTATACATTGATTTTTCTCTAGCCAAAAGCATTGAATTCAGCACTCTTTTACATTTTGTTGTTCCTTACTGCCTCTGCAGACATGATCACATCATCAGTGATGTCTGTCAATCTTGGGAATAGAACTTACCTGAATAAAGGGGAGAAGGATCTTAGTGTCTTACATCCTACCCCTTGTACTCTGCAGAAGATGATGTAGAGGAAAATGCTCTAAAACAGCATCTTGACCATTTACATCACATAACTAAACATTTTATTAAGTTGTACATTTTGATTACAATGCACTGCTGTGTGTCCTTCCAAATAATATTATCCGAAAGCCAACTTGGTAGTGGAAGAAAGTTGCTAATAATGAAGGTTGTATTTGAAATTTATTCAGTGTTTTATGGTCTATAAATATAACTGATTTTGTCTCACTTTGACCAATAGAATGTGGCAAAAGTGATATCGCATGACTTTTGGTAATATGCCACACAAATTACTGCAACTTTCATCTGGCTCTTATAGAACACTCAGTCTCAGGAGAATCTCATAGGAATCTATCATGCTGCTAGATAGACCCACAGAAATGCTATGTGTAGGGTTCCAGTCCGCAGTATCAGTCCAGCCTACAGCCAGCTGTCAGCATCAGCTGCCGTCCATGTGTGTGAACCTTCTTAGATGTCCAGCCCATTCGAGTCTTCGAATGAATGCAGCAGCCCCAGTTGACATCTGACTAAAAGCCATGAGTGATCTCAGCAGAGAACCACCATTTAAGACTACTTGACAAACTCTGCTACAAAAGATACCGATAAGTTTTTAAGCTACTGAGTTGTATATAATAATAGATAGCCAAAATGGGTATTTTCATTGGTACAAGTTTGTTTGATTGCACAAAATCTCTACTAAGAAAGTTATACTTTACCTAAACTTTGTAAATAATGAGCAAATATTCTCATTCTCTTTCATTTTATTCACTCCATTGCAGTTACTTTATGACACATCCACTGCTCACGTTGATCTTCGGAAGGTCATTTGCGACTTCCTAATTGCTAATCACTTCCTTGCAGAGAAGTCTTATAATTCCATTCTGTCCCCAGTCTCTGTGGCTTCTCCATAGCATTTGGCATGGCTTCAGTTTTGAGACTCTATTTCTTCTCAATTTAATGGCATACCATAATTCCTTTCCTCATACTAGGGGAAAGATGAGGAATGATGTTTCTGTCCTTGTGAAGGAATTATCTGTGCCTGGATTTGTGAGAACTGAAAAGTAGACAAAGAAATGCAGAAAGGGAAGAAATTTATACAAGATAGGCTAAAAAACAATGAGAACTTTAACATTATTTTAATTATTTATTTAATTAATTTATTAGAGTCAGGGTCTCACCAGCTGCCCAGGCTGGAGTGCAGCGGCACAATCATAACTCGCTGCAGCCTTGAACTCCTGGCTCAAGCAATCCTTCCACCTCTGCCTCCTGAGTAGCTGGAACTACAGGTGTGCACCACATTGTCTGGCTAATTTTTCTGTTTTTGTAGATATAGGATCTTGCTGTGTTGCTGAGGCTGGTCTGGAACTCTGGGGCTCCAGCAATTGTTCCACCTCAGCCTTCTGAAGTGCTGGGATTACAGGAGTGAACCATTGTGTCTGGCCTTTTTTTTTTTTTTTTTTTTTTTTTTTTATCGATTCACTATATCTGTGGCCCAATTCTTTACCTTTGGACAGTATGAAGTTCTTCTTAGTTTGAGAGTAGAGGTCGAGAGGAGGGGTTTGAAAGAAAGAAAAAAAGCCTTGATATTTTTCTAGAAGTCAGAATGTAAAGCTGCCATTTTCTTAAAACATTAAGTATTTTATATCACTAGTGTTTATTTGCCTATCTTCTCATCAGTTACATTATGGGCTCCTAACATATCTGTAATCAATGTTTGAATAACAATTTTCCACAATGCAAAACATTCTTCTTAATTTTTGAATCAATGTGAGTAAAGAACACTATCATCATCTCTGTTAGAAAAATTGTGTCATTACTCATACATGGCATGAGATGGTAAGAGAATAATGGACTTGGATCAGGAGGTGAGGTGGATTCCAAGTCTTTACTTCCCACTGCAATCATGCTTATTAGGAGATATCTTTTTCTTTCTTTCCCTGCCCTTCTTTCTTTTCCTTTTTCTTCTCTCCTCTCCTTTCTCTCTGCATTGCTGTCCTTATCTTCTTTGTTCTCTACATATGTGAAGTAGCTAAGAAAAATAGCAGTCAATTTTGTTTTGATATTGAAGACTTTTCATAAGCAGAACATGATGCTGCAAAAATCTATGGATGAGCAGTGCAAAAACTGAGATATCAAATTGTGCCCATCTGTGTTGTAATACCGAACACTATGAAAATGAACAATTCTTATGTTAGAATATCTGTCAGTTTTCTGGCTTTCGGATCAAATGGGTGTCCTGAGGAGACATTTTGTCACTGCACAGCTGCCGTTCCTAAGATCTCTATAGTCCCTGAGCCACCTCAATAGCAGTTATAGTCATGGCTACTTTAGAGACTTGGAATGCACAGTTCACTTCCCTTGAACCCCAAGGTTAAGAAAAAAATTTTTCAAAGAAGGAGTAGGAACATTGGAACTGAAGGGTTTTTCAGTCCTAGTTCTGACATTTACTAGCCATGGGAATTTAGTCAAGTACATTTACCCATCTGAGTTTCTGAGTTTTAATCTGTGTATTCATAGAATAGAGAGTTTAGCATAAAGAAGAAATCCATGTTAAGTATTAAATAGTACTAAGAACCACCAGGATTTGTGATGGGAAGATACTTTTTTTTGTTTTTTTGTTTTGTTTTGTTTTTTTTGGAGACAGAGTTTCACATGTCTCCCAGGCTGGAGTACAATAATGGCGTGATCTCAGCTCACTGCAACTTCTGCCTCATACGATTCTCCTGCCTCAGCCTCCCTGGTAGCTGGAATTACAGGTGCACACCACCAAGCCCAGCTAATTTTTGTATTTTTAGTAGAGACAAGGTTTCACCATATTGGCCAGTCTGGTCTTGAACTCCTGACCTCAGGTAATCCACTTGCCTTAGTCTCCCAAAGTGTTGGGCTTATGGGCATGAGCCACTGCGTCCCGCCAGGAAGATACTTTATAATGAGGCTTATTTTACAAAGAGTCAAAAGTTTGGTCTTCAAGTGATGAGAAGGAGCTGCCTCTGTTGACATTGAATGTTTTTCACAGAGTGAGTTTTTTGGAGAAAATACGCCTTGACACTGCCTGCACCCCTTTAATTATTAGATCCCTGTATGCATAAAATAGAAAAGCTGAAGTTTTCAAAGTACCAAAGGAGAACAAAAATAATGATGGAAAAAAACAAGCAAAAATGTATAAAAACATATGATACATATATATATATATATATATATATATATATATATATATATATATATATACACACACATATGTGTATCCAGGAAGGTAGGGACATATTTTTTGAGGAGATGGGGTTCACAAGCACACACACGCATGCACACACACACGTGCACACACACACACACACCTCAAAGAGTAGATACAAATTATGTTCTTATTTGTTAGTTCCCAGGCTGTTTGCATGTTTCAGGAGCTATCATTGAGCCTAGAACACAAAATCTATTTCCTAGATAAAAATGAGTCTTTAGTCTTCCTCATACCTAGGCTACTATTGGGTTTTGGGATCACAACTGAGAGAGGCTGTGATTCAAAAAAAAAAAAAAAAAAACCTCCATCTTTAAATATGATCCTTCCAACTGTATACAGAGAGTAATTTTTCCCTGGTATAGGTTTGATGCAGGACAGGCAGCCCACAAATTGGAGCTTAGCCCAGGAGGGTTCCTGGCTTCACTCAGGAAAGAATTCGTGGGCAAGCCAATGGTTTTAGGCAGCAATACTTTAATTGAACAGTACTACTCCTTGAGGAGCAGAGATAACATACAGGCAATTTTGCCCAGAGTCCACAACATATGGGTTCCTGGCAACTGTATTTTTATTCATGTAAACCCACTTTGAATTATATGCAAATTAATGGCAGATCAATGTAAATTGAGGGGCAGATTATTTAGAATTTTCTAGAAAAGGGTCAGTAACTTCTGAGTCCTTGCCATAGAAAGGGTAGTAACTTCCAAGTCATTTCCAGGGCACGTGTCAACTGTCATGGTGCTGGTGGAAGTGTCTTATGCCAATGAACAATGAAGACAGCTAGGGGTCACCTTAGTCACCATCTGCTGATTCCTGCTGGTTTTTTCAGTTTATCCTGTCTGAACCAGGTCTTGTTTTGGTCAGCAGGGTTCTGACCAGAAAACAAGTCCTCCTACCAGTCTCCTACATCAGGTCCAGTACTTAAAAAAAGAAAATTTGCCTGGGAGCAGTGGCTCACGCTTGTAATCCTAGCACTTTGGGAAGCCGAGGCAAGCGGATCACGAGGTCAGGAGATCGAGACCACGGTGAAACCTCATCGCTACTAAAATTACAAAAAAAAATTAGCCAGGCGTGGTAGTGGGCACCTGTAGTCCCAGCTACTCCAAGAGGCTGAGGCAGGAGAATGGCGTGAACCCGGGAGGCTGATCTTGCAGTGAGCCAAGATCGCGCCACCACACTCCAGCCTGGGCACAGAGCAAGACTCTGTCAAAAAAAAAAAAAAAAACCATGAAAATTTAAAGAATAAGTTGTATGTCTAGCATAAAGGGCAGGCAGGGGCAGAGGATGCTGTTCCAACAAGTGCGAACTCCTGCTTCATAGTTCAGAGAGTGGCTGTGAAGGCTGAGCACCATAGCACATGGAAAATGCTTAGTAAACTATAAAGCAATATAAGAAGTCACTTTAAACTTCAAATAAAATACTTTTATTTTGCATTAAGGTGATTTCTATGTGTGGGAGAAATTTCATCAGGAGTTGGATGATGCCTGTGTATCCTCAGGCACCTCTTGATATCTTGCTCACTTTGCTCCCTCACTTGTTTCTTTTCTGGATGCTCATTTTTACTTCTTTCTGATATCTACCTTTACTCCTGAGATTCATTCAAAATATTTAACAATGTACATTGTAAACGAATTGATCAGTCAAAATGGGCACCACCAGTAACTACTCTTTGCTCCTGGTACATGGTGTTGAACATCAGATCAGTTGCCTCAGGGAATGGAGAGTAAAGAAGGCCAATGATTCCATTTTGGTACTGATTAACTCATTATCTGATACAGTGTCTAATCAAGGAATATGTTTGGAATATTAGCTAGCATGACTTCTTTTTGGTAGAGATGAGCTCTCACTATGTTGCCCAGGCTGTTCTCGAATTCCTAGCCCCAAGTGATCCTCCCTTCTCAGCCTCATGAAGTACTGATATTACAGTCATGAGCCACCATGACTGGCCACTAAAATTTAGATATTTAGAGGGGATTATGTGTTAAGATTGTGTTTGGTGCATTTAAGGAGTGGGAGGAGGGGAAAACACTGCAGTATCTCGATGAGAAGAAGCAATGATTCAGCTCTTCTTTGACAATTTTATTTTTACCCACCCATTATGGCCCAAGCAAGACACTCAGTATCATCTCATTGACTTTTCACAAAGTCTTTATGAGTTTGATAATTCTATTACTATTTTACGTAAAAGAAATGCAAGGCATGTAGAAATTAAGTTTATTCATTTGTAATACCTGGTACCAGAAATCACTGAAGAACTGAAAGTATTTCCAATGTTGACATCTGCTCTTCTTTTTAAAGATTTTTAAAAAATCTTTTAATTGGCAAATAATAATTACATATAGTTACAGGGTACAATGTGATGTCTTGATACATGTTTACCATGTGGAATAATTAAATCAGACTAGTTAACGTATCCTTGAAGTGGTGAAGATGGTGAATTGGAACCCAACTGTATTTTTGTGCATTTCTTAACATAAGAAAAGAAAGCAAAAATCCTCCTTCAGTTTTAGAGGGTGGAAGTGAAGCACAGATGTCATTTTTGCTGCTTGTGAGCCTGCTGGTGGGCTGTCAGCGTTTACCAGTGTTTTGTTTGTGTTAGCACAGATGTTGGTATCATGTAGTCACTAGCTTCCAATAGATACCAAAGGGAAGGTGAAGTGTATAATATATGCAGGCACAAGTTATAAAAAGTGCAGCATGGTCTATTCATTTTCTGGTAGGTTTTGTGGTTGTAATCACTTCCTGATCAGAGCATTTCCTTGATATTAATAGCTTCCTTATAGTGGCAACAGTAGTATGAATCAGTGGCCTGGTTCTGCAGTGTGGTTTTTGGTGTCACTCCTGAACTTTCAATCACAATCTGCTTCTTCAGAACTACCAACAATTCTAGAAGCCACTTCATAAATTATAAGAAAATTTGCATTGCTCAAACTAGAGTGGCTTCTGTTTTCTAAAACTGAACCCTAATTAACACTTATCCATGGTTTCACTTTCCATGGTTTCAGTTATCCAGTCGACGGGGTCTCAAAATATTAAATAGAAAATTCTAGAAATAAACCACTCATACACTTTCAATGGTGTGCACTTCTGACTAGCGTGGTAAAATCTCTCACCATTCCACCCTGTCCTGCTTGGAACGTGAATCCTTCCTTTGTCCAGTATGTCTATGCTATAGATGCTCTCTGCCCTAGTCACTTAGTAGGCATCTAAGTAGTTATCAGACTGATCGTCACAGCATCACAGTGCTTCTGCTCAAGTCACCCTTATTTTACTTCGTAATGACCCCAAAACACAAGAGTAGTGATGCTGGAGATTCAGGCCTGGCCTGTGAGAGAAGCAGTGTAGTGTTTCTTTTAAGTGAAAAGATGAAAGTTGTCCACTTAGTAAGAAAAGAAAAATAATTGCCCTGAGGTTGCTAAAGTCTATGGTAATAACAAATCTTCTATTGGTGCAATTGTAAAGAAGGAAAAAGAAATGTGTGCTAGTTTTACTGTTGCACCCCAAACTGCAAAAGATATGGCCACTGTGTGATAAATTTTTAGTTAAGGTGGAAAAAGGCATTACATTTGTGGGTGGAAGATAAAAGAGAAGACGTGTTCTGATTGACAGCAACATGTTGCACCATATTAACTTAATATTAATTAAATTAAACTTTATCATAGGTTTGTGTATATAGGAAAAAATAGTGTATATAAGGTTTGGTTCTATCTGAGGTTTCAGGAATACACTGGAGTCTTGGAACATATTTCCCATGAATAAGGAGGGACTGCTGTAATTAAAATCAGCAGGAGTTGAAGGTAGGAGATTAAAGGAAATGAGAATTTGATTTTGGTTATCCAAAAAAGGTAGGTGCAAATGCAAAGTTGATGTTCTGAGCATGGTGATCTACTGGACCAGTGGCAGACATTATATTTAATTATACATAGGCTGATTGAAGGCAAAGATTTAGTGGGCAAATGGCCGTCTGCCTCTGTGAATCATTATTGCACAAAATAAAAATGAGAAAATGTTGACTGTGATGGAGACTTTAAAGAAAGGAAATGGTAAGCTCATGGTTTTAAATATGTAACTGAAGTCAAGGCTAGGATGTTAGAGGAAGCTTCTATGACTGACTTTAACAAATGTTTTGCCTTTTTGCACCTCAGGGAAACGTATTTAAATCAAGAACAGTCAGATTCGGAGTGCTGTTGAGTCACAACACATTTGAATGTACAGACTAGCCAGTTTTTCTAAGTGAAAATTGGGTAATGTTGGTGAAAGAATTAGATTCCAAGAATTTGCCTAAGGACTTTCAAAGAGGTTTGTCTCATTTGGAGTGCCCCCATTCTGAAACCTTGCCAAAACGTCATTGCTGTCAAGAGCAGCTCCACTTCTTTTCCAGTGAGGCCTGCCCTGCCCGGCTTAAACCCTAAAGTGACCGCACCTGAAAAGTTACTGGTAAAGAGAAGCCATTTATCTGAATGCCTCACCTCTGTTACCATCTCTCAGATGCACAGCTCAGCACACTTCGTGGGGGACAAGAATAAAGTTTGACCTTCAAGGACAGTTATGCACCAAAAATGTGCAAGAATCTGCTCATTTGTATCAGCAGAAACGTGAGAAATATGTGTGGAAATTGATTTTGTTGTTCTTGTAGCATAGTAGAAGAAACAATTTTATATTGAACCAAGGTTAGGAAAATTTTTTCAGTGATTCTATGTTCAAAGAAGTAATTTATGTATCTGACAGTGGTTATAACAGCTACTCAGCTGGTGGACTGAAATCTAGACTCAAGGATGGACTGTGCTAAATGAAGTTGAGGTGTCAGAAATGTCTGTGTATAACATAAAGAAAGGAATCTAAATATTTAGAGAGAAATCAAGTTGTGTTTATCATATATGACCCTCCAACATTCAGCCTGAATCTTGGAGTATTCAGAGCATACTCCCTTCACTAACACTAAAGAAGTACATTGGTGAAGAGAGGACCAGCTTCTTAAACATAAATAAAACTATGGTGGCTCTCCTCTAGAAACGAAGGAGAAAATTACGAGTTGCTCCACTTGATGGTGTGCCCTGACTTTGGTGGACATGAACAGATCCCAAACTGCCAGAAGCTACATGGCAGCTCTTCTTTACCACCAGAGCTCTGGTGAGCATAGGTTTCATTTAAGGAACTCAGTCCCTGGATTTGAATTAGTTCACGGAATGAGAGTATTTTCCTTGAAGGAAGGCCTGTGAAACATTCAGCAACAATCACGTGATAGCACAGAAATCATGACTCCAAATCTTTCCTATAGCCATCTCCAAAGGGATCTGTAAACATTTACTAGGAAATCTGCACATAGAAGAAAAGCCTATTTTCAACCTTTTGCAGCTGTGAGCAAATACTAATCTCTGTGGATTAAGAACATCATGCTGGTCCACTTATCGGAGTTAAGGTTGTGGGGTTCAGGTGATAAATAACTTAATATCCCCAGTTAAATTAACTGTAGGTCCAAGGAATCTGAGAAAACAGGCTCCTGTAATTTCTTTGTTTGCTGAATGCACAGTTGAAATAAGCTAATGTCAGGGTTCCCACACTAGCTCCTGAACCATGAAAGAAGTGATAATATGGTAGGAAGGGGCAAGTAGAAACCCCTAGAAATAATGTAACACCAAAACAGCATGCAGAAATCAATACCACATTCCTAGTGAAATAACAAAGATTAGTGCCATCACCCAATAGTTGAAAGATTCAACTCTATGATTCTTATCACAAACCTGCTAAGTCTCCTTTTTGGATTATATTGAAGATAGAGAGGTATTGGAAAATGACAGCAGATTTCACAAATTTTATCAGGTTGTGAACAAATTGCAGCTGCTGTTCTATTTGTTGTCTTTTTATTAGAGGTAACCACACATGCCCTACTTCTGGGATGCAGATATTGTATGTCTCCACCCCCCACCACCACCGCTATCTGTCCAACTGTCAGACAACACTAGAATCAGTTTTTATTCACAAGACAGAGAATAATATTTGGTCTTATTTCAAGACTATGTAAATGTGCTGGTTCTCTCGGATGATTTAATCTATAGGAATTTAGATTATCTTACCATCTCACAGACATTTCACTGGCCTACTATATTGACGTCAGCAAGCCAATGATCAGGAATAAACATATACCTTTATGTTTGATAGAAGGTGGGAGATAAACTCTCTAAATATGTGGGATTCTGCCATGCTAGTAGCATTATTGGGGATGGAAGAAATTGGTGGCTAATAGCATTTTGGCAAAGCACTCATCATAGTGAAAGAAAAGCTGCTATACTTTATTATATTTACCACCACGAAAGAGAACAATACTCATGGGGCAATTCTTTTGACATTGAAGGCAAATACATCACATTGATCCCCTTGCCAAGTAAATTGTAGAGCTACCAATTTTAGATGGGTCCCTTGCTCTAGCTTTGAGTAGGGCTCTTAATTGAGCTGCAGGGCAAGCTGCTCTATGAGTTGACCAGTACATGGAATACAACTTAAATGATATCAAATGGGGATGCTACATGAAGTCTGTGGCAATCACTCATGGGAGAACCACAGCCCAAACTTGCAGGGTTTTAGAACAGAGCAACATACTCTTTGGCAAGTAATTCTTCGTTCTTTGGGAAAAGAAAAAACTTCTGCTTATTACTGGATGGGCAAAGCAATAGGAGAGAAAGAGAACATTTCATGTTAGAGGGACCATCTTAAGCAAAGAAAAGGCAAAAGTATATATGGAGTGCTCTGAAGACCATAAACCTTGTTAGGCTGGAACACAAAGTTTCTGCACATGAGTAGATTTATTAGCTGGGGAAAAAAATCTCTTCCTGTTATATTGTAGAAAATGTGTCCAAATGAATTTAAACTAGTCTGATTCACTCCTGATTTAAAAATCCTATAGCCAAGAGTGCTGGTTGGAAGATATTTTTCTCTTTGGGCAGGACAAACTGTTCTATCACGAGCCATGCCTGGGTACTAGGAGATTCAGTACACAGCTTGCCACAGCTGGAAATGACTCCTTGCTGAAATCAACTCAGTGTCCAGCAGTGGCTTAGAAAACAATATATAGCACAGAGCTTTTAAGCTCATCATAAACTGACAGTTCTCCTAAAACAAGCTTTGTACAAAGAAAATGCCCTTGAATTTATGTGTGTATCTATGTGTATGTGTATATATATAGCCATATATATATACACATATATATATAGCCATATATATACCCACACATATATAGCCATATATATACACATATATATCCATATATATACACACATATATATATCCATATATATATACACATATATATCCATATATATCCATATATATATACACACACGCATATACACAGATATGGTAACACACACGTATATTTATGTGTATGTCCGTGTGTGTGTATATATACACACACACATATACAGATATAGTTACACACATGCATATTTCAACATGAGCTTGAACACTAACAACTGAGCACTTTTAATAAATGCTATATTGCTGCAGACCAAACAATATATGGCCATAATAACTGTATTTAAGTATGCTATGCCATTTGGGATTTGAGTTCTCAGCAGGTGAAATATAAAATATTCATTTTCCTATTCATTGTTTTTCTGGCTCCAGATATATAACTTTCAATAAGGATTTTTTTTCATCCACCAACCTAAGCTAACAGTCGGAAAAGAGAAAGTCGGTTTCTCCAGTTTCTCTCTCTTTCTCATTTTTGGGGATAGAATGGATGAGCTGACTGTAAACTCAGTTTACATTAGTGAATGGTGGATGAGTGAGCTTCAGGTAACCAATTCGATTTGTTCTTTCTCACATTAAATACCCAAGAGAATATAACTCAACTTAACCCCATCTATATGGCTATATATATATACACACACTACATATATATGGATATATATACACACACACATTTTATGTGTGTATATAAAATGTATATATGTGTATATAAAATATATAATGTCATAAATATGCAGTAATGTTTCACTGAACTAAAGGGTGATGTTCTGAGAAACTCATCCTTAGGTGATTTTATCATTGTTCAAACATCATAGAGTATATTTACACAAACCTAAATGGTATAACTTACTACACACCTGGGCTGTATCGTCCAGCCTATTGCTCCTAGGCTATAAACCTGTACTGTGACTGAGCACCGTGGCTCATGCCTGTAATCTCAGCACTTTGGGAGGCCGAGGAGAGTGGATCATCTGAGGTCGGGAGTTCGAGACAAGCCTGACCACCATGGAGAATCCCCATCTCTACTAAAAATACAAAAAATTAGCTGGGCATGGTAGTGCATGCCTGTAATCACAGCTACTCAGGAGGCTGAGGCAGGAGAATCACTTGAACCCGGGAGGCGGAGGTTGCAGTGAGCCGAGATCATGCCATTTCACTCCAGCCTGGGCAACAAGAGCAAAACTCCATCAAAAACAAACAAACAAAACCTGTACTGCATGTTACTGTACTTAACACTGTAGTCAACTGTAACACAATGGTAACTATTTGTGCATGTAAACATACAAAAGATATAGTAAAAATACACCATTAAAAAAGTGTTACACCTGTATAGGGTACTGACCATGAATGGAGCTTGGAGGAATGGATATTGCCCTGGGTGAACCAGTGAGTGAGTGGTGAGTGAATGTGAAAGCCCAGGACATTACTGCACAGTACTGCAGACTTTATGAGCACTGTACACTTAGGCTACACTAAATATATTAAAATGCTTTTTCTTTTTTCAGTAATAAATTAAGTTTAACTTACTGTAATATTTTACTTTATAAACTTTTTAATCTTTTTAGCTTTTGATTCTTTTGTGATAACATATAGCTTAAAACACAAACATGCTGTACAGCTGTACAAATGTAATTTCTTTCTTGATATCCTTATTCTATAAGATTTGTCATATTAAAATTATCTTTCACTTTTTAAACGTTTTTGTTAAAAACTAGGACACAAACACACACATTAACCTAGGCTTACACAGGGTCAGGATCATCAGTGTCACTATGTTCCACCTCTACATCTTATACCACTGAGTATGTCACTGCCAAAATAGTGTGCAATTATCAAACCAATGGTCCTGTGTGAATGTTTGGGATATTTAAATCAACCATCAGCCAGCCATGGGCACTGTCCCCATCTGCTCCAAGGCAGACTTGCTCTGTGTAATACAGATGTACTCCTGGGGGAAATGAACATGACTTTTTAAACTATTAGATTATCCACAAAGCTAAGCACCAGACTTTACCATACAGATACTCAGATTCTGGTTGTTACTATTATTGTCGTTATTCAAAATTTCCTTTTTATAGGTAAAAGAAGCAAATCACTCAAGTTTTTCTTCTTCTGGGTTGGCTTAAAAGATCCTGGAAGAAAAATATAATTAACAAAATATGTTTTTCCCCTTCTGATGCCAATTCACTTCTGGGATGCGTAGGTGGAAAGTAATGTTAAGTTTTTAGAGATCAATGCTTTTTATTTCTTTTTTTTTGCCAGACATAGCAGTTGGTACACAGCTGCCATTTTAAAACATCTCAAAGGTTAAACTCAAAATCCCAGCACTACTACCAGAGATGTGCTGATTGTGCAAAAGTTTTGTCTCAAACAATGCTGCTAATTCAGACTCTCCTTAAAAAATAGCCCTGTTATTATGTAATTAAACACACACAGCAACAATTCCAATAAAATCTGAGGATAACAGTGAAAGTCACGATGAAATCTTGAGGATGAGAGAGAGAGAGAGAGACAGAGAGAGAATATTTAATGAAAATGGGGGAGGGAATTAAATAACAGTGTTGTTAAAATTTCCTGAGTCACAGTATTTTGACAGTAAATATGTCACTATAAATAGCCATATGAAAGGGCTGAACCTTGGACATCCATTCCCCAACCTGGAGAGAAAAACCCCCAGAGAACATTTTACATAGAATGTATATAGTTAAAATCCATGTCAATACTACCCTAGGTCCCAAAGGAGATAAACATTGTAATTTTCTGATTCCAATTTTAATTGCCAATTTTACTTATAACTTCAATTTTAAAGAGATTTTTGAAATGTGAACGAAACGTGAGAGAAAACTGAGCATAACTTTTTCCAACTGTTCTTCCTGTTATTGAAACAATTTCTGGATAGGCAGATGTTTCACTAGTTTCCTTTAGTGAATTAAATGCTAAAAAATTCTATTCTTATATTATTTTTAATTCATAATTAATTTTGTGTGTTAATTATGGGTTTTTAAATTTTTAAATTTGAAATAATTATACATGCACAAGGAGTTTTAAAAGTAGTTCAGCATGGGTCCCATGTATCCTCACCCAGTATTCCCCGGTGGTCATCCTGCATAAATACTGTGCAATATCAAAACCAGAAAGCTGACATTGGTACAATCTACAGAAACTGTTCAGACTCCACGTGTACTTCACTCGTGCTTTTACATGTACTCATGTGAGCGTGTGCTTGTGTGCATGTGTGTAGTACTATGCAATTTGGTCACCTGTGTACATTTTTGAAACCAGCACAATCAACATGCAAAACTGTTCTTTCATCACAAAAGGACTCCCTCCAGCTATCTGTTTACGGTGGCAGTCAGCCCCACCCCACCCCCTGCCATCCCTAACTCCTGGTAACCACTATCTGATCTTCATCATTACCATTTTATTCATCATTGAGAGTGTTCTAGAAAGGGAGTAATATAGTATGTAACCTTTTCAGATTGGTGCTTTTTACTGAACACTCAGCAATATTTGGGAGATCAAGTTTCTCTGCATCCTTGCTAGTATTTAGTATTGCCACTTTTTTTTTTTTTTGTAGCTGTCCTGAGAGATTTGGAGTCATGTGTCATTATGGTTTTAATTTAAATTTCCCTAATGGCTAATAATATAGAACATATTTTCATTTGCTTTATTTTCTATCCATATTTCCTCTTTGCTGAAGTAAATGTCTGTTTTTATTTTTTGCCCATTTTATAATTAGGTTGATTTGCTTGTTTCTGTGTTTTTTGTAACTTCTAAAACATATTCTAGTTACAAGGATTTTTTCATATATATTTGCAAATAGTGTTATCCATTCTATAATTTGACTTTATATTTGTTGTGAGAAAATTTACTAGGACTGTATTAAATCCTTACTTGATTTTTTCCTGGTGACCTCTGTGCTTTAGTAATATTCACACAGGTTTTAAATCTGATATTACATTGAATTCTTTTTTCTTTCTTGTAAGGAATATATTTCAATGTGAATTCTATCATCATTTTTTTCTTTGAATCCATACACACTTTTAGTTTGCTGAAAATTCAAAAGCTGTTTTACTCTATTATTTTCTATTTACTGCAATAAATATCGAGTAAAATATTGTGATCCTGATAATTCTTGATTTCCATAGGACAATGATGTCCACATAAATTCTAATCCTTTCAAACATCTTCTACAAACCTTGCAGATAATCAGCTTAAATTATCTATTGCAGAAGTGAGCGACTGAAGATAGTATCAACTTCAGATTTATAGGTCATTTGGAAAATAAACACCTGAGATGAACAGGATTATCTCTGGAGCCCTTAAAACAATAGAGAGGCTGTCAGCATCTTAGTGTTGGGAGAACACAGTAAATATTATCTAGTTTGCACCTGCAAAAGTAGGGAGTATATGCTAGTAAAAAAAAAAATAATAAAAGCAGGTGTGACAGACAGTAGGGAGAGCAGGGCATTGGATCCAAGACATTTAAAAGAAATGTTTAGGAAGTACCTAGAATGACAGGTGACAGTTGAATAAGGCATCATTCTTGGTAGAATAGGACATCTAAAAAGCTGTAATGTCCTTTGGAGACATGGTGATGAAGAGAATGAAGGAAGCTGCTTAAAAAAAAAAGATAGCTGATTAAAATAGGATTAAAATTAATAATTAGAAAGTAAGAACACTTTCCCCCAACATTGCCATTTTTAAAACTAAGTGCACTTTACTATGCCAATTGAAGAAAGCACTCTTGAGCCTAGAAACCAAATTTGGTACCCAAATCCTTCTTCCCATTGTGGAATTGCTGATAATTGTGATGATTAAAATAATGTCAAGATAGCTATGAAAGTCTATAGCTCCTATTAGTCGATATATATTATATGAACCGAAAAAAAGACACAGTATCCCTAGAAAGCTACTACAACAAGAAAAGAGATAATGATTACTAAAAGTTCCTCTCAAAAAAGAAGAGAGCTGAAGCATAGCACTCCAATATTAATTAAATGCAGTTAAACAAGCAATATAAAAGATATATGAAAAACAATATAAATAAAAAATTTAAACACTACAACTAGAAATGAACAGGCATAAGGAGAAAACAGGAGAAAAAAATTGAAGCAGAAGACAAAATAAACTCAAAGATAAGAATTTAAATGACAAGGCATTCAAGAGAAAATAGACATAATTGCAAATATGTAAAGTACACAGAAGAGACAATCACTGGGACCAAGCAGGAAGAAGAACTAAAGAAAAGAGCAAAAATAATAATAATAATAAAACAAAATAAGAGAAAAGTATAGATCTGACACACAGAATAAAATATTATAACGTGTATTAAAGGAGTCACTAAAATATTCTGAATAGATTTAACGGTACACACAAATCAAGAAAATACTTTTAGATAATAGAATGCCTAATTCTGCATAATATTTCCTTGTCACCTGAGAGGAATTAACTGTAAAATATTTCAAGCAAATTTGTTTCACTTAAAAGAATAAGAAAAAAAAATCCCAGAACCTTTAGGGGAAGAAAAATATCTCATGTATAAATAAAATGTTCTTCAAAATGAAAAATAAAACAAAGGGGAGAGAAATGTATAGAAAGTAAAATAAGGTTATTGAGACGCCATAGGTAATAAGTCAAATGTTACCATTTAAAGCTGAAAAACCAAATAGTGGAAGTGTAAATAAGGAGAAATCAACAAAGAGCTTTTTATAAAGGTATTACTAATATGATGTCTACTATAATGAATATACTAACTTTATTAAATATCCAAATAAAAGCCTGTAGAATAAAAGCATTTATTATAATATAATATATACAATACCATAAAATAAAAAATAATCGAGAGCTAAGATAAAAATATCAATTTTATTAATAAATGCAAATAATATTTTGTAACCCATAGGTAGAACAACATTATAAGATATATTCACAAGGAACACCTAATGTAAAACATATGTAAACCGAAGAGATTCGGAAAGTCTGAAAATAAAAGATAGGCAAAGTAGACAAGGTAAATGCAAACATAAAAAGCAAACACTACTGCCAGGTGTGGTGGCTCACGCCGGTAATCCCAGCACTTTGGGAGGCTGAGGCGGGTGGATTACCTGAGCTCAGGAGTTGGAGACCAGCCTGGCCAACATGGGGAAACCCTGTCTCTATTAAAAATACAAAACTAGCCGGACATGGTGGGGCCTGCCTGTAATCCCAGCTACTCCATAGGCTGAAGCAGGATAATTGCTTGAACCCGGGGGACAGAGCCTGCAGCGAGCTGAGATTGTGCCACTGCACTCCAGCCTGGGCAACAGAGTGAGATACCGTCTCAAAAAAAAAAAAAAAAAAAAAAAAACACCATATACTACAATCTTGATCATTGACAAAATATAATTCAGCCACAAAAATATTAAAGGAGAAAGAAGGACATTTTGTGGATGTCGAAGAGCATTGCTCACAATAACGATATAACAGGTATGAAAATCTATGCATCAAATATCAAATCAAAGAGCTTCATAAAGCATACAATATAGGATAGGCAGGGAGAAATTGACAACATCACACTGATAATAGGAGAAAATATATAAATCTTGGTTTAAGATGGTTTAAGTGAACAAAAAATAGGTAAGAATATAGAAGACCTACACTACATAATAAAAGTAATAGACCTCATGAATATATACCAATTACCTCCTCCTAGCAGAACATATATTTTCTACTCAAGCAAATAAAATATAATCAAAATTGACCCATTGGGTCTTTATGAAAGCCTTTGTAACTTTCATAAAGTGGAAATAATATAAACTACATTTTCAATAACAGAAATTGAAAAAATTTTAAAAACCATTTCATTTTGAAAATATTAACCCTTTTGTATAACTCTTGGGTTGCAAGGGAATTATATATCAAAATGTCAGAGTTTCTTTAAAAATTAATACTAACAATAATAGGATTACTATATATCAAAATTTGTGAGATATGGTCAAATTAGTGATGAAAAGATAGCCCAAACAATAAATATTTATATCAATAAAATTAAATAATGGAAACAAATGAAAACAAAAAGTTGTTTGAATAACTAGAAAATTTTAACTATATCAAAAACTCAGAAGAAAATTATAAGAAATAAACATTGAAAAACAAAAGAAGGAAATTATGACAAATCATTGTCAAACACTAGTTAACCTAATTTTCAAAAGAGGAAAAAAGAATGAACAATTATGCACAACATAAACAAAACTGAAGACAGAAAATTATTACAATTGTTGGCATAACTCTAGGCAAAGGAATTTGAAAACCTACCAATGTAGGTTAATTATTTAATTTAACCTACTTATGTAGGTTAAAATGGATAATTTTTTAGGGAAATAGAATTTACAAAAATTGTCCCCAGTAGATGTCAAATGTTTAAAGCCACCAATTACAAGAGAAAAATAAATAGAAAAAGCTCCAAAGAACTGTTCAAAAGAATCACCAGGCCTTGTTTTATTTCACCAGAGAAATCTATCAAAATTTCATTGACCAGATAACCCCAATACTCTTTAAGTATTCCATAAAATAAAACAAATAAATAAGCTTACTTTTAAAAAAATCTGATAAAGACTGCAACAAAACAATCTCTTACCAATCTCACTTATGAATACTGGTACAAATATTGCTGAATGGAATTAAATAACATATAAAAAATAATATATCATGACCAGATGAGATTTCAAAAATACAAGGATAGCTCAATTTTAGGAAATCCATTGATATAACTTTTTATATTAATAAGTATAAAATAGACTAAAACATTTTATTTGTGTATATGATGAAGAAGTCTTCTGCACTACTCAACATCTATTTCTGATTCACAGGAAATTATTAAATAAGTAATTATTTGGTATTTTCTTAAGATGATAAAACATACATGCCCTAATTCTAAAAGCTGGTGTCCTTAATAGAGAAATAATAGAGGCCTGTCAAAGTCAGGAACAAGGTGAGTATATTAGGATTCTCCAGGGAGACCAAACCAATAAGATAGATAGATAGATAGATAGATAGATAGATAGATAGATAGATAGATAGATAGATACATAGATACATAGATAGATACATAGATACATGCATACATAAATACATACATGCATGCATGCATGCATATATATATACATATATACATATACATATATATATATATATATATATATATATATATATACATAGACAAGAAATAATTCATTACGGAAATTGGCTCACATAATTATGGGGGCTGAGGATTCCCACAATAGGTTGTCCGCAAGCTGGAGATCCAGGGATGCTAGTAGCTTGGCTTAGTCCAAGTCTGAAAGGCATAGAACCAGGAAACCAATGCTATAATTTTCAGTCTGAAGTCAAGAGTCCTGAGATCCCAGAGGGGTTAGGGAGGGCCCTGTGTGGAGAGGGCACTGGTACAAGCCCCAGAGTCCAAAGGCCAAAGAACCTAGCATTCTGATGTCCAAGGGCAGAGGAGAAAGGATGTCCCATCTCTACAAGAGAGAGAGTGAATTCATCTTTTTTTCTCCAGCTCCCCAACCAACTGCATGGTGCCCACCCATGTGGAGGGGGGTCTTCTCTGTTCAGTCCACCAACCCACAGGCCTGTCTTCTCCACAAACATCCTCGCACACACCCACTAAGAAAGAATACTATATTAGTTCATTCTCACCTTGCTATACAGAAATACTTGAGAATGGGTACTTTATAAACAAAAGAGGTTTAATTGGCTCATGGTTCCACAGGCTATACAGGAAGCATGGAAGCATCTGCTTCTGAGGAGTCCTCAGGGAGCTTTTACTCAATGCGGAAGGCAAAGCAGGAGCAGGAGTGAGAGAGAGGCAGGGTTAAGTTCTATGAACTGCTAAACAATCAGATCTCTCCAGAACTCACTCTCTATACAGTACCCAGGAGGATGGTACTAAACCATTTATGAGAAAACTGCCCCCATGATCCAATCACCTCCCATGAGGCCCCACCTCCCACACTGGGGATTCCATTTCAGCACAAGATTTGGGCAGGGACACAGATCCAAACCATATCAAATGCTTTACCATCTATGGAGATACTTCTCAATCCCATCAAATTGACACTGAAAATTAACCATCACAGTAAGAATGCCACTATCCCTACTATTTTTTTAAGATTGCATTGAAGATGGCAGATATTGCAATCAAATAAAAGGAAATCAGAGGCATTAAAATTGAAAAGGAAAAGTTTTTAAAAATATCTTATTGAAGATGGTAACATTTTATGTATGAAAAGCCCAAGAAGTTTAATGCTGAAGGGAATGCAAATGGTAAGGAATTTTAGTCATGTAAAAGGAAATAAAATGAATATATAAAAATCAATGTTATTTGTATATATAAGCAATAACTAGTAGAGAAATATAATACAAGAGATGATTCTATTTACAAAACAAGAAAAGACAAAATATTTAGAAATAAGTTTAACAAGAAAGGCACAAAACTTACTTGTAAAAAACACTTAAAAAACTTTTGGAAGTTGCATGCAAAAGCAGTCTTGAACTCAAGTAGAAAGAACTTTATTTTTGGGTAAGAAAATTCAGCATCATAAAAATGTCAATTCTCCCACAGTAAAAGTATAAATTTATCACAATCCTAATACAATATCCACAAGAATTTTTTATTCTGAATATGGTAACTTGATGTTAAGATTCATGTGGAAAAATAAATAAGCAAGAGTTTTTAAGAAAACCCTGTCAAAGAAGGAGTAATTAAGGAGACATGCCTGGACCAAATGTAAAATATCCTACCCTATCCTAAAACCATGTGATGTAAGTACATGAACAAATGAACAAATGCAACAAAATAGAAAATCCCAAGCAGATTGAAGTATGTAGCAACATATAACATATGATAAAAGTGGCATTTCAAATCAGATTAATTTGAAGATGGAATTATTAATAAATGGAACCTGTACAACTGTATAGCTATTTGGAAAGAGATCAGTTGCTGAGGTTCTAGTTTTAACTTGATGAATTGCACAGGTCTAGGGCAGTAGGTCAGTTGTTCAAAATTACATTCTTTATTTAAATTCAAGAAGGCAGTTGTCGAGCTATACCTCTGCCTGAGGATCCCTCTCCATGGAATTTTTGGACTTAAGACACCGAGGGACAAACAGCAAAGATAAAGCATATTAAAGACAAGCCAAGAAGGATAAGGATGATAGTAGATTAAATTGTCCTGTAAATACTGGAATATGGGAGGAACTCCCCTGGGTGGGAATATTCTATTCTAAAAGGAGACTTTTTGAATAGTTACTGTTTTGGTAGACCCAGAACTCATTGATATGGGGCTCTCCAAACCTATTTCAGAAGCCTCTGCACCAAAATATCAAATCTTTATCAGTGGTTCCAGGAGGACATTCTAAGTTGCAGTGATTAGTTCTCCATGAAGATGGAACAAGTCTTGTCTGAGGCTGCTGACTCCCCCACTCCATCGCATATTCCTAGTTGACCATAGGCATAGCCCAATTTAAGAAAACAAGAAGATGGGGAGATGGTGGCAGAGAGTGAGGGAGCAGAGACAATTCTCCACTCATGATGTTTTCTCTCTCATAGAGGTGTCACCGGTGATGTAATACACTTCCTTTTATCTTTTCACTCATTCCATCAGGAGGAAAAGACAATTGGTCTGACTGGTAGAACTGTAGAAAGGAAATGAGCATATGTGGCCCACCTTCTTCCTCTTCCTTCCTCTTGAGAGTAAGCTGTCCACAGAATTTATACATTTGGCTCTGCTTCTCCATGCTGAACTTTGGCGAGGGTAAGATTGTGTCTCTGTGTGTGAGTTCTGCCCCAGTCCAGAGCTATTGTTGAGAGAGGGATAAGACTGTCTGTAATGAGGACTCTTATTAGCACCTGCCCACAGGCGGTGGCACAAGCTCCAAAATCAACTAGAAAAGCAATGAAGTATAGTGTTGAAGAGTAAGAAGCATAGGGACAGACTGCCAATGTTCAGGTCTGAGCTATGCCACTTACTAGCAGTGGGACCTTGGTTAAATCAGTTAATGTCATCTTGCTTCAGTTTTCCCTATATGAAAAATGGGATAATAATATTACCTACCTCATTGGGCTCTTTGAGGATGAAATGAGTTAATATATGTAAGTCACTTGGAACAATCCCTAGACTGTGGAAGCATTTAATATGTTTGAGCTATTATTATGAGCCTTATCAGCTATAAGGAATATTATGCTCATCACACACTTTTCCTAAGATTGGCATTGGTTCTCAATTCATGTGGGAAAGATGGTGCTGTGTTTTATGTCCTTCAAACTCACATATCATGTGTAAACTACAAATATGCCCAGCTTTTTCTTATTTCCATTGCAGCTGTAAAGGTCCAAGTCCTTCATACCCATCTAGGTCTGTATTATATAAAAGCTTGTGTGAGGATTTTGGGGACCATTAATGTCACACCTTTCAAATGCTGCTGCTGAAATGAAATCTAATAGTGACCTTCTCATCTGACTCAAGCAATGAACTTGACTCTAGACTTAGTCTATTTCTCTCTAATTAGATCATCTTTACCATTATAAAAAGTCTTGCCTACTTACATAATACCAATTAAAGAGACAAGCTTAAATGATAATATTCAACTAGGTGTAATTTTGCTCAGTGAAGCTGAGTCTGCATTGTGTCAGAGTCTTCTTGATGTGCTTCCTGAATATGTTCCTATTTCTAAAGAGGGAGAATATGCATTGACTTTCAGTATCATCATACTCTAGTCTTTCTCATCATCATTATATTTACTGTACAATTTTTTTCCAAATAAATGTTATCATTGATTAGCTTTTATCTCAGTTAGAATCTTCCATTTTCTTGTATAGGTCATTCTACTGGAAATATGGGAATCACATATTATACTTCTATCCTAAAAAACCTTTAGATCTAGACTTAATGAATTACCAAATACTTACTGAGAACCTAATTTTCTAGATTTGATGTGCGCTGTACAAAGATTTAGACATACTTGCAACCCTCAAATAGAACACAGCACAGTTAGAAAGATACATCAGAGACATTTTAGAAGGTAATGAGAATTTTAAAAGAGTGTACATGTCACTGTATCGCACACATTAAAACTTGGTAACAGATAATTCCTTGGGGAAAAAAAAGCACATTTCAACATAAAAATAAAAATCTCCTCCCTGTAACAGTGGGCCAAGAGAAAAACATTTGCTGGTAGTTACTTGTGTTTACTTTATCCAAACATTTCCTGAGAAATTATATTAAAATATCAATAGATAAATAGAATCTAAGACTTTCAGACACTTCAAATATTGAGTCCTCTTCCCTCCCATCTCGTCAAATCTGTATACAATATTCTTCCATTCAAACATTCAATCTTGTTTAAGCACATTCAGTGAGATCCAGTGATCCCAGTGTCTTCTAAAGCAACCTAACTTTATTTTGTTGGTGGCTCTATCCACTGACAATGTATTAAGCCAAAGTCTGCTTGCTTCTACTTTCCAATTATTGCCATTAAACTTTACTCTTAAAATCACATGAAATATGTTTAATGCCTCTTTCACATGATAATTTCTCAAATATTTTGCATCATGGATAATTAAATTTTCTCTAGGATAAAAGTTTTCAGTTTCCAATTACTCTTTATATGACCTAACACTAATCTTCCTTGACATCTTATTTTAGTCACTCTTCACAGACATGTTCCATTCTTCTGATATCCCTTTTCACATATATGGGCAAAAAATAGAAAGGATAAACAAAAAACAGAAAATATTCTCTGTTCTTAATCAGAGCACCATAGGCCCATTGATCCACTCTGATTTAGATGTAGTCTTGAGGTAAACAATGTCACAACTTTACTTAAAATTACTTTAATGTTAACTAAAATTAAAAGCCCCATGACACTCCTCTTCTATGTTTTGTAAATTGTTTTGAAAATTGTTTTGTAATTGGTGGGTGGATCCCCAAATTGGCAAAAAAAGGTAAATCTAGATTAAAAATTTAGAGGTTATTAAGCACAATTTCTTCAATTTAGAAATTGTGGTTTTGAAACAGGGAAGGTAAATAACTTGCCAAGATTTTATAGCCTGAAAATTAGATGGAGTCTAATTTTCCATCTCAGGTTATTTATTTTCTGTTAGATCTTCCTCTTGGTTTCTCTGAAAAATGTTCATCTGGTTATTTGGGTATTGATAGCCTTCCTGGACAATTTAGCCTAAAATTTCTTTCTCATGTGGTTCATATTTTAGCATTAGAGACAAGACAAGCAGCTTTAGTAATGGGAAGAATAGAAAATGTCTGTCTTAAGAATTGCTTCTGATAAGAATCCCACAGCAGCTAAGCCCTCCAGACATTCAATATCATCTGTAAATGTTATTATTGTTCATGTTTTCTTTAGCTATACTGGATAATTTAAGAGTATCTCTTAAAAAATCATTAAAGCAGAATTACCCCTCAAGTTATAACACCCAAATGGGCTTCATCTCTGAACAAAAACAAATGAAATTCGTTCTACAGTAAACAAAATTTTCTCACCAGCAAATTGACCTCACATAACACATATTAGTTTTGGAATTGCTTTGTATAGTGATGATGGCTGGCCTGATACAATCTCTGTAGCTAATACAGAATAGAACAAGACCAGATTTTGGCAGATGACTGTCACAACATATATGCTACATAGAGGAGAATGAGGAGTGAGAGAGAGAGATCGATTGGGGCTACTTAAGGAATTTTCTGTACCATACCAAGCATATTACAGACATAAGGAATATTCAATGAGAGGTTCCCAGCACTTCTGTTTCAGCAGAATAACTGACATCACCTCTTGTTAGTGAGGTGGACAGTTCAGTTACAACAGCAGGCTGCACTGAATACTGCAATCTCAATTAAACCCTCAAGCTCTGCCTTAGGAATGAATGAATGTTCTTTCCCACTAAAAGGATGATTCTTGCATTGATAAGGAAAGCTAGAGAAATAGAGGAGGCAAATCAGTGTGAATTTGCCAACATTTATTTACTTGCATCTACTGCTCCTGAGTGAAAGAAACAAAGGACTGCAGTAATAAAATATTCTCAAAGGCACTATCTTAGATTTACATAGGAAACACACACATGTGCGCACACACACGCACACACACACACACACCCTTCTCTTCCTTTCTTAGTTGCTTCTTCTAACCCTACCTTGGTTTCTTTTTGTTTCTAACCAGTTCCTCACACTGTGACTTGTCTGGCAATCTCTGAGTAATCCCACAGTGCTCCTTGACTCCTGTGCCCAGGTCGGCTATGTAAACCCACCACCTTCTATTATCATAGCATTAGAACACAAACCGTCATTCAGCGCCCCATGTCTGAACAGCCTTTTCTTCTTAGTAAACCTAGCATGCACTGATTTTCTTCCAAATATTACAAATATGATAATGGTTGTTAATGTAAATTTTGCAAAAAAAGGGAAACCATTTAGTTTCTCTTGTATATCAGAGACATATTTTTAAACTTTCTCCTCTTGAAAAAAATCTATTTTTCTTGTATTTTTGCAGTCAATCTAACACTCAACAATTTATTTCTAAAACTAATCAGTACCTGTGTATTGGTTATGTGAGTAATTTATGAATTCCTAAGAAGAAACTGAGTGTCTATACCTTACTTCCTTTCCCCTCTTTACCCACCTCTCCTTCCACACTCTCTTCTTTTCTAAGTGATCTTTCATTAGATAACTCTTCTAACACACTATTGTCATTTAGAATTCTGTGTTCACAAAGAGCTGAAAACATTACTGAATGGAATCTCCCCTCAGATGATGTAGTGTCTACAGAAGACACAAATCCCAATTAGTTATTATTTTCCCTAAGTTTTTTATCTCTGTTTTATTCAAATGTAGGCCCAATAAGTCAATACTACACTCAGAATCATGCAAGATTGACAGAGGAAAGGCTCCAAGACGATTTATTTCCATTTCCGACCACAGTAAAGTCACATCAGCTACCTACTTGATGCCTGGTTATCAGATGCTATTAGATTCCCTTGCAATGGCAAGCAGTGAGCTTCACAGCATTGCTGGATTGCATTAATTATTAGAAAATGGTTTCTCTTCTTGAACTCATATCTTCATTGCTATAGCTTCCACACATTGGTTCTGGTTCTGTCCCCTGGAATACTACAGAAGCTATCCTTCTCTTTTCCATAGAATGAAATATACAGGAACATGCCCAGTTGGTTTTCTGACATTAGGTGCCTAGTAATGTATTATAACACCTGGTATAAAAATAATCTCTCCTCTAACATTGTAGGAGAATGGTGGTCTTGGAGATCAGTTTTCTAAATCTAATTTGTAAGAAGAGGCGTCAGTTTTCTGATTCAATTTTTTTCCTTAAGAAAAAATAAATCCCGATATAGAAAATGCATGCATTTTTTCTGTAGATATCAAACTTTAAAATGCTTTCAAGTGCTCCCTGAGTGTTGTGATTTGCACAACCAACTATGTTAATATTTATACTGACATGAATCTTATTACAGAAAAAAATTCTAGTTTGAAATTGCATTTAGCATGCCATGCCTTTTAGATTTTCTTATTCAAGTTTTATCTCTCCTTTTCTCTTTTATTTTTATTTTCTTTTTATCTTAACCCAGAAAGTGGCCTACTTTCTTGTTCAATAGATAAGAATTTACATACTGCATCCTTTAAAAAAGTTTTTAAACCATTTTATTATTATTGTATTTTGGTTAGTTGACATAGGCTTTGAATAAAATATATTCACTACTCATTTCCTGTCCTTAGGGAGCTATAGTTATAAATTTTATTTGGTTATAAGATTATAAGATGATACAGTTTATGAGTAAAATGACCATTTACTGAATGTGACATTTTTTAAGTGCTGTATATGGGAATTCCCAACATAGTTGTCAGCAGTGTGTGGAGTATCAGAGAGTGTGCACATATATGGGTTTATACAGCACTGGGGAGTTCAATCAGAAGACAGATTAAGAGAAAATACTACTGGAACAAGGGCAAAGACCCTTATTATAAGCCAATTTAGCTGGTCCAAGAAAAGCATGTTTCCTGAGGACACAGGTACTTAAACCTTCTAGATATTAGAAAATTTGGGTCATGAAACTATGATCTCAGAGTTCTTAACCCACTTGAGGCTTCTGTCATTCTGGATTCTCTAAACTGACAATCAAAAGTATTTGGTTTCTCTAAGTCTTTAAAGAAAAATCAAGTGTCTTATCCTTTCCATTTAGTATGAGCTCTTTTACCTAATATTTTGCATAAGAAGGAAGCCTAGCACTTAAGTAATCAGTTAATGTTGAAATGTAAAAAAGAAACAAGGCATAGCAGATATGAATTCTGTTTATAATCGCCTATGGACATGATAGTTCATGAAGACAGAAAATGTGAATGACACGTGACTAAATCTGAAAGGTGGTAAGTCTTCCCTATACTTGCAAACAACAAAGAAACTCACAAGTAATGAGCACTGTATTTTTCAGATATTGTATTAATAATTTTATATTCCTTAATTTACCTAAAACTCACAAAACTCTCAGTTTTTAATTTTGTTTTTGTGAATGTATAAACTAAAGGTAGGTAAAGTTAACTGACTTGTCCCAGTTTGCACAGCAAGAATTGGCCAAACCAGCAAACAATCCTATGTCTAATGTAGCAATCAGACTAAAAGGCCTTCTATATATGTAAATATCATGAGTAGAACTAATATCTAACCTGGAGGTAAAATTCACTAGGAGAAATTTGGGCTTGTTGGAAATAAGATCAGGTTTTAAAAAAAAAATGTGAATGCTGGTCTCTGAGATAATAAGAATCGACCATGGGACCAGAATCAGTAGAGGGAGTGGGATGGGGAATTAGCAGATAGGGGAGAGTATGATGATCTGAATTTCACCAACTTCATAATTTTCTTTGAGCTGTCCAACTAAGAAAATGTGAGAAATCTATTTTCTATGTTTTTAAAGGGATTTTATTATTTTAATATATTTTGAGCGTTCACTAGGCAAAAGACAATAATTTAATAATTTCAGGAAAACATTCTGTCAGCATAAGGAGTGGTATATAAGTCAGATACTGAAGAACTTGAAGGGCAGCTTTAGTATCCAGGATAAAGCAATTGTCAGAGTTCTTGTTAAATTCAAAGCAGAATGATGGATGACTGAAAGCTGTCTCCAGGTAACATATAGTATTTGCGGAAATAAGTCATTATTGAAGGTAAACTTATGTAGATTGAGTAACATGGGGAGACACAGAAAAAGAAAATTCTAGCTAACATTCTCTTTCTAACCTTAAAGAATATTGACTTCTGAAGGGAGATTTTGGAAGCTCAATTTATAAGCAGAACAGCAGCAAAAAAAAAAAAAAAAAGCTTTACCTCATGACTATTGAATTGATAATTAGACCTAATACTAAAATGCAATTAATAATATTTTTTTGGAGACGCAGTCTCACTCTGTCACCAAGGTTAGAGTACGGTGGCATGATCATGGCTCACTGCAGCCTCGATTTCCCCAAGCCCAGGTTATCCTCCCACCTCATCCTCCCAAGTAGCTGTGATACAGGCACATACCACCATGCCCAGATAATTTCCATATTTTTGTAGACACATGTTTTTGGCAGGTTGCCTAGACTGGTCTAAAACTCCTGGGTTCAAGCCATTATCCCACCTTGGCCTCCCAAAGTGCTGGGATTACAGGTGTGAGCCACTGTGTCCGACCAATAATTATTTTTAAATGATATTTGAAAGAATGAAGTGAAACAGCTGTGAAGTGCATCAGGGAACAGCTATGTTTCTAAAAATAAATGGAATTGACTTTAGTTGCTAAAGCAGTTTAAAAGTGATAAGCAGAGCTATCCATAGTAATTCAAATATAACTTAAATGGTAAAAATAGAAGGAAAAAAACTACAACAACCATAACAAAAACAAAAACTACTTAACACTGAGTTAAACACTAATTGAAAGCAGTTGGCAGTAGGGATTAATGAATTAAAGGGAACTAGCTTGTATTCAGAAGGCTTAAAAATAAGGAAAACAGCCACCATGTAGTCCAGGTGTCTTAGGTGATTCAAGTTGTACCAAACATTGGGTGGCTTATGAACAACTGCTATTTATTCCTCATAGTTCTGGAGTCTAGAAGTCCACATTCAGGGTGTCAGCATGGTTGAGTTCTGGTGAGGACCTTCTTCTAGATTGCAGATGGCTGACTTATTGTGCCCTCACATGGCAGAGAACAGAAAGTGAAAAAGCAAGCCCTATGGTGTCCAATTTTAAGTTTGCCAGTCCCATTCAGGAGGTCTCCACCTGCACAACCTAATTACCTCCTAAAAGCCTCACTTTCCAAGATTAGCACATTGAAGGTTAGGGTTTCAACATAGGAATTTGAGGAAGACGCAAACATTCAGTCAATAGCATTCTTCCCCTGCCCCCCTCCCCGAATTTATGTCCTTCTCACATGCCAAATCTGTTTATTTCATTTCAATGGTCATGAGAATTTAATTCATTCCAGCATCAACTTCAAAGTACAAAGTCCAAAGTCTCATTTAAATATTATTGAAACCACATATGGGTAAGACTGGAAGTACAGTCCTGAGACAAAGTTCATCTCCTGAGAAATTAAACAAGTTATGCGTTTCTAAAATACAAGAGTGGGACAAGCATTGGATAATATTCCTACTCCGAAAGAGAGTCATAGCAAAAAAGGAAGGGGTGATGGGTCCCAAGGGAGAAAGGCAAACTCCTGGTGATCTTAAGACTTGAGAATAATCCTCTTTGGCTCAATCTTCTGCTTTCCAGACCCACCTGGCTGGTGGTCCTGCCTTCCAGACACACTGGGGCAGTGATCTCACACCTGCTCTGCTAAGTAAGGGTTCCACCTCAAGGCTCCACTGGGCAGGGGTTGAACTCCCACAGCTTCTGGCAGCCCTACCCCTGAGGATTTTGGTAGAGGTCATCTGGCCTGTTGAAAGCTTGGCCATGCCCCTGTTCTCCCTTTGGAAAGAAAAGAGGGAGCCCTGATTATCTGTTCATTATCTTTGGGGTCCTTCTTCCCTTATCTTAAAGAATAGAATTGACACTGAATAGCTCTATGGTCTCATCCTATAAAATCAAAAAAGTCTGACAACTTTTCTTCATTCCTTATCATATTTTTACCCTTCTTCAATTCAAACTAGCAATATCTGCTGGAGTGGCTGATTAAGTCTCTAGTTCACATCTGTACTTTTTCCTTATCAAACAGTTGCTTGGCCACACCCTTCGTGTTCTTTTCCAAACATGCTTTCCCCCTTTTGATTTTTTATTTTTGCAATATGAATAAGCTGATAATTTTCCACACCTTTGTTTCAGTTCCTTTTTGCTTAATAATTTTATCTTCAAGATATTTCTCTCTTCTTACATTTTACTATAAGCTGTCAAGGAATGAAGCCACTGCTTTAATGTTTTGCTTAGACATCTCCTCTACTAATTGGAAATATCCAATTGCACTCTTGAAATTCTATTCTCACGAAACACTAGAACATGAATACAGTCCAGACAGGTTTTTTGCTACTTTATAACAGGGATTGCCTTTGCTCTGTTGTCCAATAATATGTTCCTCATTTCCATCTGAGACCCCATCAGAATGGCCTTTACTGTCTATGTTTCTACCAACATTTTGTATATGATTATTCATGTATTCTGTGTGAAGATGGAAACTCTACAGCCTTCTTCTTTCTTTTCTGAACTTTTGCTAGAATCCTCTTTAAAAATCTTTTTATGACCACTTCAGTTCTTCTAGTATGCACTTCAAAACTCTTCCAGCCTGCAATTACTCAGTTCAAAGCTGCCTCCAAATTTTTAGGTATTTGCTGTAGCAGCATCCCATTTCTCTATATCTATTTCTGTTTTCATCATTTCAGGATGCTATAAGAAATAACCATAGACTGGGTAGCTTAAAAATAATAGAAATTTAATTCTCATAGTTCAGAAGGCTGGAAACCTGAGCTCAGGTGTCTCAGTATGGTTGCATTCTGATGAGGAAATTTTTCTGGGATGCAAATGGCCAATGTCTCATTGTGTCCTCTCATGCAGCCCAAAACAGAGTGAAAAGGAAGTTCTCCAGTGTCTTTTTATAAAGGCACTATCCCCATTCATGAGGACTTCCATCTCTTGACCTAATTACTTCCCAATGACCCCATCTTCTAATATTATCACATTGGGGGTTGTTTTTAATACATGAATGGGGTAAACGGCATAAATACGTGGAAATTTCTTACTTTTACTTTGGACACAAATACGACCAGGTTTTCAGGTCAAGGCTTCGGGAATTCTAAACAATAGGCATTTCTTGGTACTTTTATCAGGCATAATTTTTTGTTTAGAGAATTTGTCCATATCAAGAAAAAATCTTCCAACATATGGACCCTTGGAAGAAGAAGATACATGAGCTTTATCTGATACCAACTTGAGCCCCAGTCCCAGAGAAGGAGATTGAGTTTCTGAGAAGGGCAATTGATTAGAACTAATGAACAACAGAGAATTCCATGGTGTGTGGGGCTCCACACCCTCCTTCTCCCATGGAAACGACAATTCTACAGCAATAAGTAAACCACTTCCACTTGTGAAAAATCCAGAATCTAGATAAAAGGCTTCAGTATATCAGATAAGCACAAAACCGGCAGCATTGAAACTTGTGGGAAAATCTGTGTCACTCACTTGCCAGAGCATAGTGTGATCAATTAGAAGGAGACACGTAACATCTGGCTTCTCCCTCAGGAAGGAAAGTAAACATATATCTAATATTCAGATTCTTCAGGGGCCTACCTGAAAAACTTGGTTTTTGTCTCATCCGACTCAGAGAGAACCCACATACTCTACATGTCTGGGGTGTGGTGTATGAGGGGGAAGCACTGAGAACACAAAAGAGCTGGGTGAATGAGAGCAGCCCCAGAGAATCCTCAGTACCACAGGTAGGCACCAGAAGGAGCAAGAGATTTCAAGCTCCTGAATAAAGAAACCAGCAAAACCTTTCTAATCTGGACTTCATAAGCACAAGTCCAGAGAAGATGCACCTGTAGAAAAGTTTTGAGAGGTCCCTAGAATCTCTAGCCAGGCTGATTGGTGAAGGTGTTTTCCAGTACAAAGCCAGTCAATAAAGATGGAAAAGGTGACTGTTTTTCGAATGCCCAGATAACAACACAAAGTAACAAGACATTTAAAGAAACTGACAAAGCATTCAAAATAACCATCATAAAGTATGCAATATATTCAGGAAAATAAGGCATGAACAAAATGAGAATATCAACAAGAAGATAAAAAGTATTTAAAAGAAACAAACAGAAATTTTGGAGACAGAAATAGAGAAAAAAACAAAATTTATAAGATATAAAATAATGAACTAAATGGCAGTAAGTCCTTTCCTATCAATAACTACTTCCAATGTAAATGGATTAAACTCTCCAATCAGAAGTTATAGAGTGTCTGACTGTGCAAAATAAAAAGGATCCAATTATATGCTGTCTAAATGAGACTTACTTTGGATTTAAGGACACATAGAGTGACAGTAAAAGGAAGAGAAAAGATTTTACATATAAATGATAACAAAAAGTGAGTAGGTGTAGCCATACTTATATCAGACAAAATAGACTTTAGGCCAAAAACTATCACAAGAGAAAAGGATAATGATATCATATAATGATAAAAGGATGAATTCACCAGGAAGACAGAACAATATTATATACGCACTAAATATCAGAGCAAACATGTGAAGCAAGCATTGACAGAACCGAAGGGACAAATAGAAATACAGTAACAGTTTGAGATTTTAATATCCATTTTCAATAATAAATAGAATAATCAGATAGAAGATCAGTAATAAGGAAATAGAAAACTTAAGCAACACTATGGAACAAATGAACCTAACATATATAAAGAGTATTTTACCCAAAAGGAAGAGAATGCATATTATTCCCAATGGCACATGAAACATTCTCCAGGATAGATCACATGTTAGGTAACAAAACAAGCCTTAACAAAGTAAAAATTGGAATCACAACAAGTATATTTTCTGACACAATGAAATGAATCCAGAAATCAGTGGCAGAACAAAAACTCAAAAATGTACAAATTTGTAGAAATTAACACACTTCCAAACAACCAATCTTTCAAAGAAGAAATCAAAAAGTACATTAGACAATATACTGAGATAAATGAAAATGAAAATACAGTATACCAGAACTGAGATTCAGCTAAAGCAGTAAAAAGAGGGAAGTTTATAGCAGTATGTGCCTATACTAAAAGTTTTCATAGAAAACTACACGAAAGTTTTCTTAGAAAAAAACAACCTAGCTTTATACCTCAATGAAAAAGGAAAAGAAAAACACACTGAGCTCAAAGTTAGCAGAAGAAAGAAGATAACAAAGATTAGAGGAAAACTAGGCAAAATAAAGAATAGAAAAGCAATAGAAAAAATCAATAAAACTAAGATTTGGTTTTTGAAAAGATCAACAAAATTAACACATCTTAGCTAGACTGAAAAAAATGAGAAAAGATTTAAATGAATAAAATGAGAAATGAAGGAGGACAAATTACAACTAATGTCACAGAAATGAAAAAGATTCTAAGAGAATCTCATGAATAATTGCAGGTAAACAAATTGGATAACCTAAAATAATGGATAAACTTCTAGAAACATACAACTTAATACAGATGAATCATGGAGAAATAGGAAACCTGAACAGATCTGTAACTAGTAAATGTGAGTTAGTAATTGAAAACCCTCCAATAAACAAAAGCTGATGACCAGATGACTTCACTGAAGAATTCTACCAAAACTTTAAAGGATAAATAATGCAAATCTGTTTCAAATTCTTCCAAAAAATTGAAAAGTAATAAATACTCAGACTCATTTAATGAAACCATCATTACTCTTATACCAAAGACAGACAAATACACTCGAAGAAAAGTAAACTGCAAATAAATATCTCTGATGAACATAGATGCAAAAATCCCCAAGAAAAAACTAGCAAGTCAAATTCAACAGTACATTAAAAGAATCTTATACCATGACCAAATTGGATTTGTCCATGGGATGCAAGGATAAATCAACATCAGTCAATGAAAATGATACAGCACATTATTAGAAAAAAAGGATAAAAATAACATGATCATCTGAGTAGATGTAGAAAATGTGCTTTATAAAACTCAAGACAGTTTCACAATAAAAACACTCAACAAACTAGGAATAGAAGGAAATTACCTCTACATAATAAAAGTCATAATAAAGGCCAACAAATGGACCGGGCGAGGTGGCTCACACCTGCAATCCCAGTGCTTTGGGAGGCTGAGGCAGGCGGATCACGAGGTCAGGAGATCAAGACCATCCTGGCAAACACAGTGAAACCCCGTCTCTACTAAAAATACAAAAAAATTAGCCGGACGTGGTGGCGGGCGCCTGTAGTCCCAGCTACTCGGGAGGCTGGGGCAGGAGAATGGCATGAACCTGGGGGGGCGGAGCTTGCAGTGAGCGGAGATCGTGCCACTGCACTCCAGCCTGGGCCAGACTCCGTCTCAAAAAAAAAAAAAAAGGCCAACAAAGAAAATCCCACAGCTAACTTTACAGTAATGGTGAAAAACTGAGAGCTGAGAGCTTTTCTGCTAAGATCAGGAATAATGCAGTGATGCCTACTTTAGCCACTTCTGTTCAACATAACACTGAAAATCCTAGCTAGAGCAATTAGGCAAAAAAATTAATAAACAAACAAAAGGCATCCAAAGTGAAAAGAAAGAAGTAAAATTTTCTCTGTTTACAGATGGGAAGATCTTATATACAGAAAACTCCAAGGAATCCACAAGAAAACTGTCAGATGTAATAAATGAATTCAGCAAAACTGCAGGATACAAAAATTGACATGCAAACGTTAGTTGTGTTTCTATAAGCTAACAATGAACAATGTGAAAAGATAATAAAAATAAAAATCTGAAAGATAATTAATAAAGAATCAAATATTTAGGAATAAACTTAATCAAGGAAGTAAAAGACTTGTACGCAAAAACTACAAAACATTGCTAAGAGACATTAAGGAAGAAACAAATGGAAATACATCTTGTGTTTATGGAAATAAAAAATCTACAGATTCCAATGCAATATTTTTCAAAATCCCTATGGTATTGTTTTGCAAATATAGAAAAACAATCCAAAAATTCATATAAAATCACCAAAGACCCCCAATAGCCAAACAATCTAGACAAAGAACAAAGATAGAAGCCTCATACTTCCTGATTTGAAAACATATCACAAAGCTTTTGTCATCAGTACAGTAATAAAAACAGACACAGACCAATGGGACAGACTAGAGAGCCCAGAAATAAACCAATATATATGTGGTCAACTAATCTTCAACATGAGTGTCAAGAATACATACTAGGAAAAAGGATAGTCTCTTCAACAAATAGTGTTGAGAAAACTGGATTATCCACATGCAATTAAATGAAATTGGGCCCATCTTACACTATACATTAAATCAACTTAAACTGGATGAAAGATTTAAATGTGAGACCTGAAACCGTAACACTCCTGGAATTAAAAATAAGGGTAATACTTCATGACATTGATATTGGCAGTGATTTCCTGGACATGACACCAAAAGGACAGGGATCAAAAGCAAAAATAGACAAGTGAGACTAAATCAAACTACCAATCTTCTGTGAGGCGAGGAAACACTAAGTAGAGTGAATGACAACCTACAGAATGGGAGAAAATAGCTGCAAACTATATAAGTGGTTAACATCCAAAATATACATGGAACTCCTACAATTCAATAACAAAACAAATAAATAAATAAATGGCTAACATCTGCTTACAAGACCTGGGCAAAGGATCTACTCAGTAATTAACATCCACTTATAAAACATGGGCAAAGGGCCTGCATTAGATAGACATTTCTCCAAAGAAGGCATACAAATAGCCAACGGGTATATGAAAATATGCTCAATGTCACCACTCATTAGGGAAATGCAAATCAAAATCACAATGACGTTTTACCTCTTGCCTGTGAGGATGGCCATTATCAAAAACACAGACATACAAACACACACACAAACAAAACCAAGATAATAACAAATGTGGCAAGGATGTGGAAAAATTAGAACTCTTGCATGCTGTTGATCGCTGAAAAATGGTGCAGCAGCTACAGCAAACAGAGTGGAGATTCCTTTAAAAATTAAAAATAGAACAGCCATACAATCCAGCAATCCCACTACTGGGTATATATTCAAAAGAAAGGAAATCAATATATTGATGATATATCTGAATTTCCATGGTTATTGTAGTAGTAGTATTCACAATTGCCCAAGTTGTGACTCATTATTGTGACTCATGTGCCAAAATAGACTCATTCTTAGTATTCATCAATGGACAAATGGATGAAAAAATGTGGCATAATACACATTGGAATATTATTCAATCATAAAAAAAATGAAATCTTCATATGCTACAACGTAGATAAAACTTGAGGACATTATCTAAGCCCAGTAAGCCAGCTACTGAAAGACAAATACTGCATGTTTCTACTTACTTGATCTGTCTGGAGTGTTCAAACTCATAGAAACAGAAAGAAAAATAGTGGTGAGCTGTTTGGAGTGTTCAAACTCATAGAAACAGAAAGAAAAATGATGGTTGCAGGGGCTGGGTTGAGGGGTAAACTGTCATCTGTGAAATGGGTATAGAGTTTCAACCACACAAGATAAAAGTGTTCTACAGATCTGCTGTATAACAATGCATATACTTAACAGTTCTGTGCCATACACTAAAAAATTTGTTTATAACGTAGACATTGTGTTATGTGGCTTTTTTTTAACCACAATAGAAAACATGATCATAAGGGATATTTGGGGATGATTAAAGTTGGATGGTGGAGATGGTAGCACAATTATGTCAATTTACAAAAATCATATAATTGTACCCTTAAAATTACAATTTTATATTATTCTGTTACAAAGCTACTTCAAGGAATGTCATGTGAAAAAAATTACCATTTTTAGAAGCTAATATTACATTTTATATAAGATATAGGTCAAAAAGTTATTTAAAAATTTGAAAATATTTTGAATTGACTTAAAAATACAATGTACATAAACGGTGAAAAGCAGCTGGAAATCTAAAGTATTAAACAGTTTTATTGGAAAAGAAGAAAAGCACAAATCAATGACTTATTTTCCATAAAAGTAAGTTAAGAAAAGAACAAATTATTTTCACATATAGCAGAAAAAAAATAAAGAGCTAAAATCAATGAAATATAAACTATACCAACAATAGAGAAAAACAATTAAACTAAAAGCTGATTCTTTGAAAAAATCATCAGTATTGGTAAACCTTGACTCAGGTCAAGAAAAACAAATACGTAAATTCAAAAATTGCCAAATATCAGGAATATGAGAAGTAAAATCACAGCAGAGCTTAAAGAAGCCAATAAGGAACCATTGACAGTAATCTGATAAAATAAATTCGACAACTTAGATAAAATTGACACATTCCGGAAAGATAGAAATAAAATTTGCTCAAGAGCAAGCAAGATAAACTAATCTAGAGAGCCATGTATCTATTAAATAAAGAAGTCTCATAGCTAAAATGTTTGCACGATGAAAACTGTAGAATGAGATAGCTTAATTAATTCTACAAAACACTTAAGGAATAAATAATGCCTATTCTTTTTTTTTTAAATTATACTTTAAGTTCTAGGGTACATGGGCACAATGTGCACGTTTGTTACATATGTATACATGTGCCATGTTGGTGTGCTGAACCCATTAACTCGTCCATTACATTAGGTATATCTCCTAATGCTATCCCTCCCCCCATCCCACAACAGGCCCTGGTGTGTGATGTTCCCCTTCCTGGGTCCAAGTGTTCTCATTGTTCAATTCCCACCTATGAGTGACAACATGCAGTGTTTGGTTTTTTGTCCTTGTGATAGTTTGCTGAGAATGATGGTTTCCAGCTTCATCCATGTCCCTACAGAGGACATGAACTCATCATTTTTTATGGCTGCATAGTATTCCATGGTATATGTGTGCCACATTTTCTTAATCCAGTCTATCATTGATGGACATTTGGGTTTGTTCCAAGTCTTTGCTATTGTGAATAGTGTCGCAATAAACATACGTGTGCATGTGTCTTTATAGCAGCATGACTTATAATCCTTTGGGTATATATCCAGTAATGGGATGGCTGGGTCAAATGGTATTTCTAGTTCTAGATCCCTGAGGAATCGCCACACTGTCTTCCACAATGGTTGAACTAGTTTACAGTCCCACCAACGGTGCAAAAGTGTTCCTATTTCTCCACATCCTCTCCAGCACCTGTTGTTTCCTGACTTTTTAATGATTGCCATTCTAACTGGTGCGAGATGGTATCTCATGGTGGTTTTGATTTGCATTTCTCTGATGGCCAGTGATGATGAGCATTTTTTCATGTGTCTGTTGGCTGCATAAATGTCTTCTTTTGAGAAGTGTCTGTTCATATCCTTCACCCACTTGTTGATGGGGTTGTTTGATTTTTTCTTGTAAATTTGTTTGAGTTCATTGTAGATTCTGGATATTAGCCCTTTGTCAGATGAGTAGATTGCAAAAATTTTCTCCCATTCTGTAGGTTGCCTGTTCACTCTGATGCTAGTTTCTTTTGCTGTGCAGAAGCTCTTTAGTTTAACTAGATCCCATTTGTCAATTTTGGCTTTTGTTGCCATTGCTTTTGATGTTTTAGACTTGAAGGCCTTGCCGATGCCTATGTCCTGAATGGTATTGCCTAGGTTTTCTTCTAGGGTTTTTATGGTTTTAGGTCTAACATTTAAGTCTTTAATCCACCTTGAATTGATTTTTGTACAAGGTGTAAGGAAGGGATCCAGTTTCAGCTTTCTACATATGGCTAGCCAGTTTTCCCAGCACTATTTGTTAAATAGGGAATCATTTCCCCATTTCTTGTTTTTGTCCGGTTTGTCAAAGACTGGATGGTTGTAGATGTGTGGTATTATTTCTGAGGGCTCTGTTCTGTTCCATTGGTGTATACCTCTGTTTTGGTACCAGTACCATGCTGTTTTAGTTACTGTAGCCTTGTAGTATAGTTTGAAGTCAGGTAGCATGATGCCTCCAGCTTTGTTCTTTTGGCTTAGGATTCACTTGGCAATGCGGGCTCTTTTTTGGTTCCATATGAACTTTAAAGTAGCTTTTTCCTATTCTGTGAAGAAAGTCATTGGTAGTTTGATGGGGATGGCATTGAATCTATAAATTACCTTGGGCAGGATGGCCATTTTCACAATATTGATTCCTCCTATCCATGAACATGGAATGTTCTTCCATTTGTTTGTATCCTCTTTTATTTCCTTGAGCAGTGGTTTGTAGTTCTCCTTGAAGAGGTCCTTCACATCCCTTGTAAGTTGGATTCCTAGGTATTTTATTCTCTTTGAAGCAATTGTGAATGGGAGTTCACTCATGATTTGGCTCTCTGTTTGTCTGTTATTGGTGTATAAGAATGCTTGTGATTTTTGCACATTGATTTTGTATCCTGAGACTTTGCTGAAGTTGCCTATCAGCTTAAGGAGATTTTGGGCTGAGATGATGGGGTTTTCTAGATATACAATCATGTCATCTGCAAATGGGGAAAATTTGACTTCCTCTTTTCCTAGTTGAATACCCTTTCTTTCTTTCTCCTGCCTGATTGCCCTGGCCAGAACTTCCAACAGTATGTTGAATAGGAGTGGTGAGAGAGGGCAACCCTGTCTTGTGCCAGTTTTCAAAGGGAATGCTTCCAGTTTTTGCCCCTTCTGTATGACAAACCCCATTGGCTGTGAGTTTGTCATAAATAGCTCTTATTATTTTGAGATACGTCCCATCAATACCTAAATTATTGAGAGTTTTTAGCATGAAGGGCTGTTCAATTTGGTCAAAGGCCTTTTCTGCATCTATTGAGATAATCATGTGGTTTTTGCCTTTGGTTCTGTTTATATGCTGGATTATGTTTATTGATTTGTGTATGTTGAACCAGCCTTGCATCCCAGGGATGAAGCCCACTTGTTCATGGTGGATAAGCTTTTTGATGTGCTGCTGGATTCTGTTTGCCAGTATTTTACTGAGGATTTTTGCATCAATGTTGATAAGGGATATTGGCCTAAAATTCTCTTTTTTTGTTGTGTCTCTGCCAGGCTTTGGTATCAGGATGATGCTGGCCTCATAAAATGAGTTAGGGAGGATTCCCTCTTTTTCTATTGATTGGAATAGTTTCAGAAGGAATGGTACAAGCTCCTCCTTGTACCTCTGGTAGAATTCGGCTGTGAATCCATCTGGTCCTGGACTTTTTTTTGGTTGGTAAGCTATTAATTATTGCCTCAATTTCAAGCCTGTTATTGGTCTATTCAGAGATTCAACTTCTTCCTGGTTTAGTCTTGGGAGGGTGTATGTGTCAAGGAATTTATCCATTTCTTCTAAATTTTCTAGTTTCTTTGCGTAGAGGTGTTTATAGTATTCTCTGATGGTAGTTTGTATTTCTGTGGGATCGGTGGTGATATCCCCTTTATCATTTTTTATTGCATCTATCTGATTCTTCTCTCTTTTCTTCTTTATTAGTCTTGCTAGCAGTCTATCAATTTTGTTGATCTTTTAAAAAAACCAGCTCCTGGATTCATTGATTTTTTGAAGGATTTATTGTGTCTCTATCTTCTTCAGTTCTTCTCTGATCTTAGTTATTTCTTGCCTTCTGCTAGCTTTTGAATGTGTTTGCTCTTGCTTCTCTAGTTCTTTTAATTGTGATGTTAGGGTTTCAATTTTAGATCTTTCCTGCCTTCTCTTGTGGGCATTTAGCGCTATAAATTTCTCTCTACACACTGCTTTAAATGTGTCCCAGAGATTCTGGTATGTTTTGTCTTTGTTCTCATTGGTTTCAAAACATCTTTATTTCTGCCTTCATTTCATTATGTACCCAATAGTCATTCAGGAGCAGGTTGTTCAGTTTCCATGTCATTGAGCGGTTTTGAGTGGGTTTCTTAATCCTGAGTTCTTGTTTGCTTGCACTGTGGTCTGAGAGACAGTTTGTTATAGTTTTTGTTCTTTTACATTTGCTGAGGAGTGCTTTACTTCCAACTAGGTGGTCAATTTTGGAATAAGTGCGATGTGGTGCTGAGAAGAATGTATATTCTGTTGATTTGGGGTGAAGCATTCTGTAGATGTCTATTAGGTCTGCTTGATGCAGAGCTGAGTTCAATTCCTGGATATCCTTGTTAACTTTCTGTCTCGTGGATCTATCTAATGTTGACAGTGGGGTGTTAAAGTTTCCCATTATTATTGTGTGGGAGTCTAAGTCTCTTTGTAGGTCTATAAGGACTTTTTCTTATGAATCAGGGTGCTCCTGTATTAGGTGCATATATATTTAGGATAGTTAGTTCTTCTTGTTGAATTTATCCCTTTACCATTATGTAATGGCCTTCTTTGTCTCTTTTGATCTTTGTTGGTTTAAAGTCTGTTTTATCAGAGACTAGGATTGCAACCCCTGCTTTTTTTTATTTTCCATTTGCTTGGTACGTCTTCCTCTATTCCTTTATTTTGAGCCTATGTGTGTCTCTGCACTTGAGATGGGTCTCCTGAATACAGCACACTGATGGGTCTTGACTCTCTATCCAATTTACCATTCTGTGTCCTTAAATTGGAGCATTTATCCCATTGACATTGATGGTTAATATTGTTATGTGTGAATTTGATACTGTCATTATGATGTTAGCTGGTTATTTTGCTCGTTAATTGATGCAGTTTCTTCCTAGCATCAATGGTCTTTATAATTTGGCATGTTTTTGCAGTGGCTGGTACCGGTTGTTCCTTTCCACGTTTAGTGCTTCCTTCAGGAGCTCTTTTAGGGCAGGCCTGGTGGTGACAAAATCTCTCAGCATTTGCTTGTCTGTAAAGGATTTTATTTCTCCTTCACTTATGAAGCTTAGTTTGGCTGGATATGAAATTCTGGGTTGAAAATTCTTTTCTTTAAGAATGTTAAATATTGGCCCCCACTCTCTTCTGGCTTGTAGGGTTTCTGCCAAGATATCCACTGGTAGTCTGATGGGCTTCCCTTTGTGTGTAACCCGACCTTTCTCTCTGGCTGCCCTTAACATATTTTCCTTCATTTCAACTTTGGTGAATCTGACAATTATGTGTCTTGGAGTTGCTCTTCTCAAGGAGTATCTTTGAGGTGTTCTCTGTATTTCCTGAATTTGAATGTTGGCCTGCCTTGCTAGGTTGGGGAAGTTCTCCTGGATAATATCCTGAAGAGTGTTTGCCAATTTGGTTCCATTCTCCCCGTCACTTTCAGGTACACCAATCAGACATAGATTTGGTCTTTTCACATAGTCTCATATTTCTTGGAGGCTTTGTTTTGTTTCTTTTTATTCTTTTTTCTCTAATCTTGTCTTCTCACTTCATTTCATTCATTTGATCTTCCATCACTGATACCTTTTCTTCCAGTTGATTGAATCAGCTACTGAAGCTTGTGCATTCATCACGTAGTTCTCATGCCTTGGTTTTCAGCTCCATGAGGTCATTTTAGGACTTCTCTACATTGGTTATTCTAGTTAGCCATTCGTCTAATCTTTTTTCAAGGTTTTTAACTTCTTTGCGATGGGTTCAAACTTCCTCCTTTAGCTCAGAGAAGTTTGGTCACCTGAAGCCTTCTTCTCTCAGCTCATCAAAGTCATTCTCCGTCCAGCTTTGTTCCATTGCTGGTGAGGAGCTGCATTCCTTTGGAGGAGGAGAGGCACTCTGATTTTTAGAATTTTCAGTTTTTCTGCTCTGTTTTTTCCCCATCTTTGTGTCTTTATCTACCTTTGGTCTTTGATGATGGTGACATACAGATGGGGTTTTGGTGTGGATGTCCTTTCTGTTTGTTAGTTTTCCTTCTAACAGTCAGGACCCTCAGCTGCAGGTCTGTTGGAGTTTGCTGGAGGACCACTCCAGACGCTGTTTCCCTGGGTATCAGCAGCAGAGGCTACAGAACAGCGAATACTGCTGAACAGCAAATGTTGCTGCCTGATCATTCCTCTGGAAGTTTCGTCTCGGAGGGGCACCCGGCCGTGTGAGGTGTCAGTCTGCCCCTACTGGGGGGTGCCTCCCAGTTAGGCTACTCGGGGGTTAGGGACCCACTTGAGGAGGCTGTCTGTCTCTCCTCAGATCTCAAACTCCGTGCTGGGAGAACCACTACTCTCTTGAAAGCTGTCAGGCAGGAATATTTAAGTCTGCAGAGGTTTCTGCTGCCTTTTGTTCAGCTATGCCCTACTCCTAGAGGTGGAGTCTACAGAGGCAGGCAGGCCTCCTTGAGCTGCAGTGGGCCCACCCAGTTCAAGCTTCCTGGCTGCTGTGTTTACCTACTCAAGCCTCAGCAATGGCGGGCACCCATCCCCCAGCCTCGCTGCTGCCTTGCTGTTGGATCTCAGACTGCTGTGCTAGCAATGAGCAAGGTTCCATGGGCATGGGACCCTCTGAGCCACGCGCAGGATATAATATCCTGGTGTGCCGTTTGCTAAGACCATTGGAAAAGGGCAGTATTAGGGTGGGAGTGACCGGATTTTCCAGATGCCATCTGTCACAGCTTTGCTTGGCTAGGAAAGGGAATTCCCTGACCCTTTGCACTTCCTGGGTGAGGGAGGGGGGAGGGATAGCATTAGGAGATATACCTAATGTAAATGATGAGTTAATGGGTGCAGCACACCAACATTTTCAGTTTTCTATATATGGCTAGCCAGTTTTTCCAACATCATTTATTAAATAGGAAATATTTTCCCCTTTGATTGTGTGTGTCAGGTTTGTCAAAGATCAGATGGTGGTAGATGTGTGGTGTTATTTCTGAGGCCTCTGGTTCCATTGGTCTATATATCTGTTTTGGCCCCAGGATCATGCTGTTTTCCTTACTGTCACCTTCTAGTATAGTTTGAAGTCAGGCAGTGTGATGCCTGCAGCTTTGTTCTTCTTTTCCAGATTGTCTTGTCTATGCAGGCTCCTTTTTGGTTCCATATGAGGTTTAAAGTAGTTTTTACCAGTTCTGTGAAGGTAGCTTGATGGAGATAGCATTGAATCTGTACGTTACTTTGGGCAGTAAGACCATTTTCATGATATTGCTTCTTCCTATCCATGAGAATGGAATGTTTTTCCATTTGTTTGTATCCTCTTTTATTTCGTTGAGCATTGGTTTGTACTTCTCCTTGAAGAGGTCCTTCACATCCCTTGTAAGATATATTCCTAGGTATTTTATTCTCTTAGTAGCAATTGTGAATGAGAATTCCCTCATGATTTGGCTCTCTGTTTGTGTATTATTTGTGTATAGGAATGCATGTGATTTTTTGCACATTGATTTTGTATCCTGAGACTTCGCTGAAGTTGCTTATCAGCTTAAGGAGATTTTGATCTGAGACAATGGGGTTTTCTAAATATACAATCATGTCATCTGCAAACAGAGACAATTTGACTTCCTCTCTTCCTATTTGATAATCCTTTATTGCTTTCTCTTGCCTGATTGCCCTTACCAGAACTTCCAATACTATGTTGAATAGGAGTGGTGAGAGAGGGCATCCTTGTCTTGTGCTGGTTTTCAAAGGGAATCTTTCCAGTTTTTGCCCTTTCAATATGATATTGGCTGTGGGTTTGTCATAAATAGCTCTTATTATTTTGGGAACATTGGAACATTCCTTTGATACCTAGTTTATTGAGAGTTTTTAGCATGAAAGGCTGTTGATTTTTGTCAAAGGCCTTTTCTGCATCTATTGAGATAATCATCAGGTTTTTGTTGTTGGTTCTGTTTATGTGATGGATTATGTTTATTGATTTGCATATGTTGAACCAGCCTTGCATCCCAGGGATGAAGCCAACTTGATCATGGTGGATAAGCTTTTTGATGTGTGCTGGATTCATTTTGCCAGTATTTTATTGAAGATTTTTGCATCAAAGTTCATAGGGGATATTGGCCTAAAATTCTTTTTGTTGTGTCTCTGCTAGGATGTGGTATCAGGATGATGCTGGCCTTATAAAATGAGTTTGAGAGGATTCTCTATTTTCTATTGATTGGAAAAGTTTCAGAAGGAATAGTACCAGCTCCTATTTGTACCTCTGGTAGTATTCGGCTGTGAATCCTTCTGGTCCTGGACTTTTTTTGGTTGGTAGGCTATTAATTATTGCCTCAATTTCAGAGCCTGTTATTGGTCTATTGAGAGATTCAACTTCTTCCTGATTTAGTCTTGGGAGGGTGTATGTTTCCAGGAATTTATCCATTTCTTCTAGATTTTTTAGTTTATTTGCATAGAGGTGTTTATAGTATTCTCTGATGGTAGTTTGTATTTCTGTGGGATCAGTGGTGATATCCCCTTTATCATGTTTTATTGTGTCTATTTGATTCTTCTCTCTTTTCTTCTTTATTAGTCTTGCTAGTGATCTATTTTGTTGATCTTTTCAAAAAATAGCTCCTGGATTCATTGATTTTTTGAAGGATTTTTTGTGTCTATATCTCCTTCAGTTCTTCTCTGATCTTAGTTATTTCTTGTCTTCTACTAGCTTTTGAATTTGTTTGCTCTCGTTTCTCTAGTTTTTTTAATTGTCATGTTAGAATGTCAATTTTAGATCTCTCCTGCTTTCTCTTGTGGGTGTTTAGTGCTATAAATTTCCCTCTACACACTGCTTTAAATGTGTCCCAGAGATTCTGGTACGTTGCGTCTTTGTTCTCATTGGTTTCAAAGAACATTTTTATTTCTGCCTTCATTTCATTATGTACCCAGTAGTCATTCAGGAGCAGGTTGTTCAGTTTCCATGTAGTTGTGCGGTTTTGAGTGAGTTTCTTTATCCTGAGTTCTAATTTTATTGCACTGTGGTCTGAGAGACAGTTTGTTGTGATGTCTGTTCTTTTACATTTTCTGAGGAGTGTTTTATTTCCAATTATGTGGTCAATTTTAGAATAAGTGTGATGTAGTGCTGAGAAGAACATATATTCTGTTGATTTGGGGTGGAGAGTTCTGTAGATGTCTATTAGGTCCACTTGGTCCAGAGCTGAGTTCAAGTCCTGGATATCCTTGTTAGTTTTCTGTCTCAATGATCTGTCTAATATTGACAGTGGGGTGTTAAAGTCTCCCATTATTATTGTGTGGTAATCTAGGTCTCTTTGTAGATCTCTGAGAACTTGCTTTATGAATCTGGGTGCTTCTGTATTGGGTGCATATATATTTAGGATAGTCAGCTCTTGTTGTTGAATTGATCCCTTTACCATTATGTAATGGCCTTCTTTGTCTCTTTTGATCTTTGCTGGTTTGAAGTCTGTTTTATCAGAGACCAGGATTGCAACCCCTGCTTTCTTTTTTTTTCTTTCCATTTGCTTGATAGATCTTTCTCCATCTCTTTATTTTGAGCCTATATGTTTCTTTGCACATAAGGTGGGTCTCCTGAATACAGCATACCAATGGGTCTTGACTCTGTATCCAATTTGCCAGTCTGTGTCTTTTAAATAGGGCATTTAACCCATTTATATTTAAGGTTAATATTGTTATTTGTGAATTTGATCCTGTCATTATGATGTTAGCTGGTTGTTTCACCCATTAATTGATGCAGTTTCCTCATAGTGTCAATGGTCTTTAAGATTTGGCATGTTTTTGCAGTGGCTGGTACTGGTTGTTCCTTTCCATGGTGCTTCCTTCAGGAGCTCTTGAAAAGCAAGCCTGGTGGTGACAAATTTCTCAGCATTTTCTTGTCTGTAAAGGATTTTATTTCTCATTCACTTATGAAGCTTAGTTTGGCTGGATATGACATTTGAGTTGAAAATTCTTTTCTTTAAGAATGTTGAATATTGGCCCCCACTCTCTTCTGGCTTGTAGGGTTTCTGCCAAGAGATACATTGGTAGTCTGATGGGCTTCCCTTTGTGGGTGACCCAATCTTTTTCTCTGGCTGCACTTAGCACGTTTTCCTTCATTTCAACCTTGGTGAATCTGACAATTATGTGTCTTGGGGTTGCTTTTCTCAAGGAGTATCTTTGTGTTGTTCTCTGTATTTCCTGAATTTAAATGTTGGCCTGCCTTGCTAGGTTGGGGAAGTTCTCCTGGATAATATCCTGAAGAGTGTTTGCCAACTTGGTTCCATTCTCCCCATCTCTCTCAGGCACACCAGTCAAATGTAGATTTGGTCTTTTCACATAGTCCCATGTTTCTTGGAGGCTTTGTTCATTTCTTGTTACTGTTTTTTCTCTAATCTTGTCTTCTTGCTTTATTTCATTAATTTGATCTTTGATCACTGATATCCTTTCTTCTACTTGATCGAGTCAGCTATTGAAGCCGATATGTGTGCTTTTCAAATTTCTCGTACTGTGGTTTTCAGCTCCATCAGGTCATTTGAGCTCTTCTCTACACTGGTTATTCTAGTTTGCCATTCATCTAACCTTTTTTCAAAGTTTTTAGCTTCCTTGAGATGGGTTAGAACATGCTCCTTTAGCTCAGAGAAGTTTGTTATTACTGCCCTTCTGAAGCCTACTTCTGTCAACTCGTCAAACTCATTCTTCACCCAGTTTTGTTCCCTTGCTGGCGAGGACTTGTGTTCCTTTGGAGGAGAAGAGGAGTTCTGATTTTTGGAATTTTCATCCTTTCTGCTCTGGCTTCACCCCATTTTTGTGGCTTTATCTACTTTTGGTCTTTGATGTTGGTGACCTACAGATGGGGTTTTGGTGTGGATGTCCTTTTTGTTGATGTTAATGCTATTCCTTTCTGTTTGTTAGTTTTCCTTCTAACAGACTGGCCCCTCAGCTGTAGGCCTGTTGGAGTTTGCTGGAGGTCCACTCCAGACCCCATTTTCCTGGGTATCTCCAGTGGAGGCTGCAGAACAGCAAATATTGCTGCCTGATCCTTCCTCTGGCAGCTTCGTCCCAGAGGGGCACCCATCTTTTTGAGCTGTCTGTTGGCCCTTACTGGGAGGTGTCTCTCAGTCAGGCTACACTGGGGTCAGGGACCCACTTGAGGAGGCAGTCTGTCCATTATCAGAACTTGAACACCATGCTGGGAGAACCACTGCCCACTTCAGAGATGTCAGGCAGGGATGTTTAAGTCTGGAGAAGCTGTCTGCTGCCTTTTGTTCAGATATACCCTGCCCCCAGAGGTGGAATCTGAAGAGGCAGTAGGCTTTGCTGAGCTGTGGTGAGCTCCGCCCAGTTCGAGCTTCCCTGCCACTTTGTTTACACTGTGAGCATAGAACTGCCTACTCAAGCCTCAGCAATGGCAGATGCCCCTCCCCCCACCAAACTTCAGAGTCCCAGGTCAATCTCAGACTGCTGTGCTAGCAGCGAACAAAACTCTGTGGGTGTGGGACCTGCTGAGCCAGGCACGGGAGGGAATCTCCTGGTCTGCCAGTTGTGAAGACTGTGGGAAAAGTGCAGTATTTGGACAGAAGTGTACCGCTACTCCAGGTACAGTCACTCATGGCTTTCCTTGGCTAGGAAAGGGAAATCCCCTGACCCCTTGCACTTCCCAGGTGAAGTGATGCCCCACCCTGCTTCAGCTCACCCTCCATGGGCTGCACCCACTGTCCAACCAGTCCCACTGAGATAAACCAGGTACCTCAGTTGGAAATGCAGAAATCACCCATCTTCTGTGTCAATCTCACTGGGAGCTGTAGACTGGAGCTGTTCATATTCAGCCGTCTTGGAAGCGACCCTCCAACAATTTCTTTTACAGGTAAACATGAACCTACCTGATGACCCAGAATTCAATTCCTAGGTATTTATCCAATAGAAACTAGTACCTCTGTCCATCTGAAAATGTTTATGCATACATGTGCATTCTGTTCATTCCTGATAATCCCACAATAAAAATAATCCAAATGTTCATCAGCAGTACAATTAATTTTAAAAAGTGGTGTATTCAAGCAATAAAATGCTCTTCAGCATTAAAAAGTAATGAACTACTGATTAATGCAATAAAATGAATGAATATGCTGATGAGCACAGGCAGATGCAAAAAAGTACATACTGTGTAACTCCCACTTATATAAAATATGTAAAAACACATCTAATTTACAGTGACAGAAAACAGATAAATGACTGCCTTGAGTGTGGGGAAAAATTAACTGGGACAGACAAAAACTTTGGGGGAGGACAATACCTTGATTGTGTTGGTAGTTAATGCAGATTACATGTGAGCATTCATTTGTCAAAATTCATCAAGTTGGATGCATTTTATGGTACATTAATTATATCTCAATACATTGATTTTTTTAAAAAGGAGGAATTGTTCAATTGTCAGGCGTCACTGGGTGGCCAAGTAAGATGAGGACCTAGGACAGCCTGTTGGATTCTACAGCATGGAGGACACTGATGGTCTTGGTGATGTGTTTCATAAAAGAGGGGAAGAGTAAGTCCTGGTTGATATAGTTTTTAGGAAAATTGGACATAAAGTAAAACAGTGAGTAAGGCCCACTATAGAAAATGATTTTCTGTAACCCTGACAAGTGCTGTAATGGGGTGGTTGTTGGAGAGGGTGTGGTTTTCTTTGTTTTTATGGCTGGGAGTAACAGCACATTTATATATTGATGGGAATGATGATGTAGAGAAGGAAAAATGAACAGAGCAGGAGAATGAAGCGTTTGTGTGAAGATTTTGAACAGAAAAGTCAAAATGTTTTGACTTAAAAGAGGGTCATTGTAAAAGAAAAGGAAGTTGAATTTAAAGAAACAAAACCAAGAGGCATGTAGACTTGATGAGGAGAGAGGAGAAGGTATGTGATAATCCAATAATCTGGGAGTGGAAAGTAGAGTAGCAGTGCTAGAAAGCATTAAGAAATTATGTACATTTATGGATAAAAAATTCATTCAAAGTGTATCTAGACCATTGAATACATTCTGTTACTGCACAACTGACTGAGGATATTGTGGTGTACAAAATAGAGGTGCATGTTTTCTGTTCTCATGGAGGTTGTATCACAGTGGGCAGAAAAATAATGTATTAGTAAATAACAAACATAATATTTTTATGATTTGAAAAATGTTGTGAAGAAAATGAAGCAGGGTAATGGGCTAGAGAGTCCCTGGGGGATTGTGTAAGGACTATTTTGAATAAAGGTATTCAGTGAAGAGCTCTCTGACATGGTTTCATTTGACGAAAGATCTGAATAAGTCAGAAGCCTAAAGTAAGTTAACTGGCCACTAGGGAATGTAAATTGTATATTCAAGGGAAATAACAAAGCAAATAATAAGGGTAGTTATTTTAAAGTCTTGAAAGATAAACGACTTCCCTGGCTCTATACAATCTTACCTCCACCTGATTTCCAATTTTGGTGTCCAGACACCAAGTCCAATACTATTTTTCTAAAAGACCCCCCTATCTGGTTGGAAATACACAATTTTAAATCCAGAAGAGAAAAGCACAGTGGTAAAGAAAATATAACAAGACAGAGGCTGGGTTAATTTTCCACCTTCCCCTAGGGCCTTGAGCTCATTCTGTTCTATTTCCTAACAGCTGGTAGGCTTTTGTTCTTTTCCTCTGTAACTGTTTCTCCAGCAGGTAAAGTGCCATTTGGCATCCAGGGCATATGATTATTATAAGCAATGTCCCCATGACATTTCATTAGCTGGTCTTTCCACATTTACCATCAGACTACTGGAGCCTTGTTAGAAGCACTTAATTGCATCCTGTTTTTGAGGCTGTAGCTGCACATCAAGATTCTTCTCTCATATTAATTTCTTTTTAGTTGCTCAGAAGGTCTTCCTGCTGATTAGAGTTTTAACAAAGAATTTCTCCTTCTACTTTCCTTTCTTTATCTTTATCTCCCTCCCTGCTTCCCTATAATTTGGGACAATGCTGTCAGCCATAATAAGCATTGCTTTTTTGCTAATGTGATTAGTGTTTGCCTGGGTGTCAAGAATCTCTATGTCCTCAGGGGTATTGAGGCTGGGGATTTAGATGATGCCCAACTGCACAAGTTTCTGAGGGCATTGATCTCTTCCCCTTCCACTGATGAAATAAACTTTTGGAATATAACATTTCTGGGTCCAAAAAAGTGACTCTCTTTTTTAAAAAAAGCTGCTTCTATCTTTAATTGATCCTCTTGGGATTGCATGTCGGCTGGAAAAAGAAAAACAGATTATCTGAATGTTTTAGGATAAGATGAACTGACTATCAATGTGTCTTTGTGATTAATAATGCCTACTGCTGCTTTTAACAACTGATTTTTTGAGATGAACCAGACGCTCTTCTCAGCACTTTATGTGTATTATTTCATTTAATCCTCATAACATTCTCACTTTTGATGAAAAGTACTGGGGTAATTTTCGCTTTACAGATGAGCAACATAAAGCATAGAAATGTTAAGTCACTTGCCCAAGTTGCCCAGTGATAGAAATGGATTGCAAACCATGTGTTTTGACTCCAAAGGCCAGAGTCAGAAAGATGCATATTCTCAAACAGAGCAAGCCAACTTTTTCACAGCTTTCACCTGAAGCTCATGCATGTTTCTCCTCTCTTTTGTAAGACATGTTCTTGTTTTCTCCCATCCAGTTATATATTTCTTTACCATGACTCAGAGTATTCCAACAGGACTCCAAAGTCAAACTTCTGAGTTGAATTAGATGGACTTTCATGTGTCCAACTGCCTCTGCCAACTTTCCTGTTTCAGTGTCCAGTCTTTTTCCTGGGACACCACTTCTGCCTCAACTGTTCTCCCTGCTTCCAGCCACACCCTCATGGTCCTCTACCAGCTGCCTGTGCACTTTCTAACACCCAGTTCTGGTGATTCTATGCCTGCTCCCAGCCCTTCTTTGACTGCTTGTTGCTAAAGGATGTAGTTCACAATATTTAGCCATAGGTTTATTTGCAATCTGGTTTCAATATACCATTCAAGGCATATCTCCTGACAGACCTCATCCCTCTTTATATCACATCCTATGCTTAGCCACATCAATCCACTCGTATTTCTCCAACACATCTATGCCATTGGTCATACACATTTCTGTCTCAAGGAAAGTATTTTATTTTTATTTTATTTTTTAATCTAGCAAAATCCTTTGTGTCCTTTGAAACCCATCTTATGAGTTACCTCTTCTGAGATGGATTTGGTGACTTTTCCTCTGCTTTCAGACATAAAAAATGAATGTGGTCCCTCCTTCCTGTCCTTAACCCGGTAAAAAAGTCAGTGTTGCTTTGCCATCTTTTTATTATAGTAATTCCCATTTCAATTTCTCACAACAGACTGTAACTTCCTCAAGGGCAGTATCATGTCTTTTACACAGAGTAGGTGCTTATAAATTTCTGTTACATGAAAGAATACTTGAAAAAATGTTATATATTGCTGTGTCATAAGCCAGATAGATAAGTCTAGTAGGCAGCATTTGCATAGAACACCATGGTAGCAATTACTGAGATTCTGCTCTTATTAGATTGGGCTTATGTCTTTGTTTAAAAAAAAGATACTCTCTAACATGGACCAGAGAGTGATTATTAATGCCTCTTTTACTGGAATAAAGAAAATAACATGTTATAAATTATAATGGAGTTCTTTGGTAAGGAAAGAAGTCCAGATGCCTCGAATTAGAGGGACAATGCCAGTTAGGGAACCCTTGGTACCACGTATTGATAATGTCTCTTCCTCACGTTCTTGCATCATCCTTGCTCTGTTTGTAGCTTAGAGGGCCCTGCCCTCATCTACTAAATCAGCCAGTGTGTTTGTCTTCCACTGCCTTTCTGAGTGCCCAACTCCTTCCCTGCTATCCCCCCACCCCTCTGCTATTTCAGCCTTGGCCCTATCTCACTCAGTACTCTTTTCCTCTGCTCTAATTAAATCACTTCCTGAGGTTTTATTAGGTTTTTCTTCTAGAAGGTGGACTAGTGCCTAGAGGTATTGTGGTATAAAAACATTAAAAAGGACAGTGTGGTTATTTTCTATGGAAAACAGTCTTGTGTCCAACACACAGAGCACACTGGGGGAGAGGAAGAGAGAAGACATTTAAGGATTATGAAACTCACATATTTTATTTAACTGCTGTCTCCACCTGTATAAATACAATATGTCAAGCAGCGTTAAAGGGAGTTGCTGTCCATCTGCACTTATTAGGGAGTGTGTGTGTGCTGGAGAGCTCCTGTGGAACATTGAGAGTGTAGAGTAGGAGCTGGGCAGTGGGCCACGCGTGACTGTAGACTCAAAATCTTCATCTCTGTGTGTAGCAGCCACACTTAAAAAATCTGTAATCAAAATAGCCACTCTCTGGAAAGCCAGAGAAAATAGAGAAGATGATTTTCTTTGCACAGTTCAGAGTCAAGATACAAAGTTCATTAAAATGGTTAAGATGTGTTTTCTAGGCCTTCCTATTTCCTCTTTTCTGTCCCTCCTCTGACATCCTACTGAACCTGGATATCCTGTCTTCTCACCTTTGCCCTAGGAATATTCTGAGCTAAAGCACACATGATACCACTGGTTTATTAAAACTCTACCCAGATTGTGCAAATAATACCCACAGTACCAGCTCCTTCAAGTTCCTGAATTCTAAAATTTTCCATTCTGTGTATATTCAATTCAAGTGCCTACTTTCTCATTGGGACTCATTATCTAGTGGTTTAGTACAATTTTTATTTTGAATAAGCGTACACAAACTTTGAAGAACTAATGCTGACTTAATGTTTAAACTCTTCCATGTAAATTTCAATTTGTATCCCAGTCTTTATTACCGAAAATAGACATATATCCAGAGATACAGGAGAGGAGTTTCCTGGTACCTTATTAAATTGCTAACATGAAATGCTACTGATACTTGATACATAGATCTGGAATATATTAGTCCATCTAGCTTCTTTTCAAATAAGAAATGATAGAAATCCTCTCCCTCTCCCTCTCCCTCTCCCCATGGCCCACGGCCCACGGCCTCCCTCTCCCTCTCTTTCCACTGTCTCCCTCTGATGCCGAGCCGAAGCTGGACTGTACTGCTGCCATCTCGGCTCACTGCAACCTCCCTGCCTGATTCTCCTGCCTCAGCCTGCCGAGTGCCTGCGATTACAGGCGTGCGCCGCCACGCCTGACTGGTTTTCGTACTTTTTTGGTGGAGACGGGGTTTCACTGTGTTGGCTGGGCTGGTCTCCAGCTCCTAACCGCGAGTGATCCGCCAGCCTCGGACTCCCGAGGTGCCGGGATTGCAGACGGAGTCTGGTTCACTCAGTGCTCAATGGTGCCCAGGCTGGAGTGCAGTGGCGTGATCTCGGCTCGCTACAACCTCCACCTCCCAGCTGCCTGCCTTGGCCTCCCAAAGTGCCGAGATTGCAGCCTCTGCCCGGCCGCCACCCCGTCTGGGAAGTGAGGAGCGTCTCTGCCTGGCCGCCCATCGTCTGGGACGTGAGGAGCCCCTCTGCCTGGCTGCCCAGTCTGGAAAGTGAGGAGCGCCTCTTCCCGGCCACCATCCCGTCTAGGAAGTGAGGAGCGTCTCTGCCCGGCCGCCATCCCATCTAGGAAGTGAGGAGCACCTCTTCCCAGCCGCCATCCCACCTAGGAAGTAAGGAGTGTCTCTGCCCGGCCACCCATCGCCTGAGATGTGGGGAGCGCCTCTGCCCCGCCGCCCCATCTGGGATGTGAGAGCGCCCGGCCGCGGCCCCGTCTGGGAGGTGAGGAGTGTCTCTGCCCGGCCGCCCCATCTGAGAAGTGAGGAGACCCTCCGCCTGGCAACCGCCCCATCTGAGAAGTGAGGAGCCCCTCCGCCCGGCAGCCGCCCCATCTGAGAAGTGAGGAGCCCCTACACCCGGCAGCCACCCTGTCTGGGAAGTGAGGAGCGTCTCTGCCCGGCAGCCACCCCGTCCGGGAGGGAGGTGGGGGTCAGCCCCCGCCAGGCCAGCCGCCCCGTCTGGGAGGGAGGTGGGGGGGTCAGCCCCCCGCCCGGCCAGCCACCCCGTCCGGGAGGTGAGGGGTGCCTCTGCCCAGCCGCCCCTACTGGGAAGTGAGGAGCCCCTCTGCCCGGCCAGCCACCCCATCTGGGAGGGAGGTGGGGGGGGGTCAGCCACCGGCCAGCTGCCCCGTCCGGGAGGTGAGGGGGCCTCTGCCCGGCCGCTTCTACTGGGAAGTGAGGAGCCCCTCTGCCCAGCCAGCCACCCCATCCGGGAGGGAGGTGGGGGGGGGTCAGCCCCCCACCCGGCCAGCCGCCCCGTCTGGGAGGTGAGGGGGGCCTCTGCCCAGCCGCCCCTACTGGGAAGTGAGGAGCCCCTCTGCCCGGCCAGGCGCCCCATCTGGGAGGGAGGTGGGGGGTCAGCCCCCCCGCCCGGCCAGCCGCCCCGTCCGGGAGGTGAGGGGGGCCTCTGCCCAGCCGCCCCTACTGGGAAGTGAGGAGCCCCTCTGCCTGGCCAGCCGCCCAATCCGGGAAGTGAGGGGCGCCTCTGCCCAGCTGCCCCTACTGGGAAGTGAGGTACTGGGAAGTGAGGAGCCCCTCTGCCCGGCCAGCTGCCCCGTCCGGGAGGGAGGTGGGGGGGTCAGCCCACCCGGCCAGCCACCCCGTCCGGGAGGTGAGGGGCGCCTCTGCCAGGCCGCCCCTCCTGGGAAGTGAGGAGCCCCTCTGCCCGGCCAGCCGCCCCGTCTGGGAGGTGTACCCAACAGCTCATTGAGAACGGGCTGGGATGACAATGGCGGTTTTGTGGAATAGAAAGGGGGGAAAGGTGGGGAAAAGATTGGGAAATCGGATGGTTGCCGTGTCTGTGTAGAAAGAAGTAGACATGGGAGACTTTTCATTTTGTTCTGTACCAAGAAAAATTCTTCTGCCTTGGGATCCTGTTGATCGGTGACCTTACCCCCAACCCTGTGCTCTCTGAAACATGTGCTGTGTCCACTCAGGGTTAAATGGATTAAGGGTGGTGCAAGATGTGCTTTGTTAAACAGATGCTTGAAGGCAGCATGCTCGTTAAGAATCATCGCCACTCCCTAATCTCAAGTACCCAGGGATACAAACACTGCGGAAGGCTGCAGGGTCCTCTGCCTAGGAAAACCAGAGACCTTTGTTCACTTGTTTATCTGCTGACCTTCCCTCCACTATTGTCCTATGACCCTGCCAACTCCCCCTCTGCGAGAAACACCCAAGAATGATCAAGTAAAAATAAATAAATAAATAAATAAATAAATAAATAAATAAATAAAAGAAATGATAGAAATCATCCATTTTTTATATAGTTTATCTTGTGCATCTACCCATGTCTCAAATAAACAAAAAAAGCCAAATAAACATATACAGTGGTATCTATCTGGTACAATAGAAAGCCAATGTGATATAAATCCTCCAAAGAAATATTGCTAGTGACATGATTAAACCTCTCCACTCTCCAAGGCAGTAGGCCTGAATTGCTACACATTTGAGTTTATATTCTTCTGGCTGTTCTAATGTGTTAAATTTCAGCACATTTTTTTGGCACCAGTACATGCCTTCTCATCTCAAAAAGTCTATATTAAAAAACAGATGTCTAGGTATTGATTTCTCTTTTTCCCAATTATCATATTTGAATTTAACTAGTACCTCCTGGAGATAAATCACAGTCATCCCAATGCAAGACTCACAAAGTACAAATTTCTGGCCCCAAGTTTTGGACTTTGATGTTTTGTCAAATTTCCGCTTAATGAGACACCTTAAAGGGACATAGCCGACCCCACCAAGAACATAAATGAAGTCCTATCTTTGCAAGAATCTTTATGTACATGGCTCTTAATATTCGCTCTGATATTTCCAAGGCAATTGGAAGCCAGAAATGATCCTTCCATATTGTAATTCAGAGCCTTTGTGACTTGACTTCTTCCACTATAAATAACTTAGACACTTGGTAAAAATCATTCAAAGTCAGTTTGTGTGAAGTCTTCTACTCTCTGTGTTACATACAAAACACTAAATAATCAGAGAGTGACCTCTGATTCTTCAGTTCCTAAGACTATGCTTCTATTTATTGCTTGACTCAAGTGATAAAAGCACCAAATTTCCAGTCACAAGAAACCTTGTAGGTCCACATTTAGATCATGTTCCATCTACAAACACATCCTTTCTACAATGTCTTCCAAGAGTCTGTTGGGCCTCTGCTTGAGTGCCATTAGGGTGACAAACACCTGTGACTTCTGGAGGTAGCCATTTATATCTCTACAGGGTAGAACCAAGCCCACCATTTACTGAGGCATTAACAATCAGGTGTGCAGATCAATTCATTCTCTTTGCTTTTCAGTCATCTTGTGTTCCTTAACCTCTTCCCTCTCCAATAAATGACAGAAAGAAACTGCTAAAATCCATCTGTTGAGCTCCTTGAGGGCAGTTGTAAAATATGCAATTGGGGCTATACTAAGAGGAAGGATTTACAATATGTTTCAGCTTTTCAATTATGGACAGATAATCCTATCACTTTTGACCACTTCATACCAAAAACTGAGTAGAAAGGAAACTGACACCGAACTTTCATTAGGTATCAGGCCATGTGTAAGGTGCTTTTGTGTTGGGTGTTTTAGATGGTGTTGCTTTCTTTATTTCTCATAACAACCCTGCACAGTATGTTGTCCCTTAACTCCATTTTAACAGAAGATAAGTAATACATAATTTATGCTGGTACATTGCAGTATTTGAATGTGAATCCAGGGAAACCTGACCACAAGTCCTGCTCTTTCTATTACATGATTTTTGCTATGCCTGAGACTAAATGAGATGTTGCAAAGAATGGCTGTGTTTTCTTCTGCATGGTGTAAAACTATCTGCAAACCATCAACTTGCTTTTGTGGGTGGGCAAGGTGAAAAATTTAGCTATTTCAGGAGGCAGAATAAGCCCAGGAAATGATGTGGCAGGAAAGAAAGGTGAAAGAAAATAAAACAACTATCGTTGACGTAGGCACCGAAGAGGAAGAATATGTTCTGCATCTTCTTTCTGTAGAAGTCTAACGTGATTGGGTTGTGAAGCTGCTGCCCCTCTTCAAATTTAAGGCTCAGTAAAAGGGCAGAACAGAGCTGGGTGTGCTTGTTATGGCCTTCATTCCAACACTCAGATGGGAGTGCTGCAAACTCTGGGCTGCAGTGCTCATAATGCTGTTCAGTGCAATTCCATGTGGCTTTATGTTTACCTTGGGCATGTTTTTGTCTTTGTGCATTTCTAATTAATCCATTATGATCTATAGTGAGAGAAATGCCAAGTAGCTGAATTCCCATTCCCCATTCAAGGCCATGGCTACTGGCCGTTAAGTAGTCTGTCTTCTAATTATGGTGGGTCCTCATCTGGTCTAATGTTATGCCTCTTCAATTAAAAGCCCCACAGCAGTATGCACTTACTCTTTTAACAGCACAGCTGTTTCCTCAGACCAGGCCCAGTGATGTGTGTATTGAAGACTTTGGGAGAGTCTTCAATCCCCAAGCTACAGACTCTATCACAACTACGGTTCTCAGTACTTACTGCTTTCCCCCTACAGCCTGGAAAACTATGGGATTCAGACTCTGGTGTGGGGTTGTCTCCCGCCAGCAAATGCCAAACTCCCTACATGCCATACCGTCTCACAGGGATGCCCTCTGGAGCTATTTGGGGGAATAGGCAGCTGGAGTCATGGACAAGGCTGTTTGTATGCTATAGAAGCCACTATAAAATGCTTTTGTGTGTACAATAAGGCCATGCTGAGCTGGCCATATGGCATATCACCCTCTCCTCTGTTTTTAAATCGTAATCTCTTCAGTTTGCTTTACTCTTGTTTTAGTTTGCCTTAAGTTTTGTTTTAACCAGAACTACTCAGAGGAAATGTATTCAAGAGAAAGGCTGCAAAACCAAAAGATGAGCTGAATAAGCAGAAATAGCCTAACGGCATGTAAGTGATCACAGGTTCAGTTGTGCTTAATGCTTTGCCCATGAAATGAATTAAGGAGGTATGATTAACTGACGATAGCTAGGATTACACCAAGCCACAGATCCCACCCTGGTGGCGTGAAGGGGGTTGGGGAAGAAATTTTGCTGCAAAACCTAAGAGAGAGAGCCAATGTTGACTGAGGTCAGTGTCTTGTTGTTCAGAATTGCAAAGTGAATTTTAGGTGACAAAGACAAATCAAAGAAAATTTATCAATTTTTTTCAAATTCAACTGGAAACTAATCTCAGATTTTAATATCCTTCCCTAATCTCCCTTTTACATCTATACCAAGCCTCTGAAACCACTTCCCTATATAGTTTTCTTCTTTGCTGAAAGGGTCATTCTCTTTTAGAGAAGGAATCTCTTCCCCATCTAACTGTTCATTCTTATCCCTTTCAGAATATACAAAGATCATCATATGCAGATTAGAAATATATATGTACATGTTTGTAAATGTAGGCTCATCACAGGTAAGTGATTGACCTAAACCTAAGGAATTTCACCCCATGGCAAAAAAGATTGACAGAGTCATGGAAGTCAAAAATGAGAGTATTAAGAGCACTAACTAACGAGTGAGGAGTAGGAAGAGCAAGGAGGTTCTAAACAGTCAAAAGGAGTAGGCAAAAAACAGACAAGTCTCAAAAATATTAGAAAACTTGCAGAAAAGTTTAGATATAAATTTTGTAAGCAAAGAAATGCCATGAAAACTTTTTGAGCAGTAGGGTGAATTGATCAGATGTATGTAGTATAAAATCACATTGATGGCAGGGTAAAGGATAGGATTTAGGGGGAAATGAAAGATAGTGAGAACATTGAGGAGTCCCTAATCCAGTCTAGAGGTGATGACTGCCTGCCTCAGGATAGTGACTATGCAGATACAGAAGAGAGAATGAATTTGAAACCATAGATAGGATTATCAGAATTTAGACATAGGGTAGATGTGAAAAGTATGCAAGCTTCAGCGATTCAGGGTGCTTCTCAAGTTTGTGTCAGACAAAGCCTTCAACTTGAAAAGCTAGGAAATCTCAAAGGAAGAATAGAATAGTTTAAAAAGATTATGGTGTGTGAGGTGTGGGGGTAGGAGGATCTTAATAAGGAGGGTGTGCTGCAGTTCATAACAGCCATGTGCACAAAATCTATGCATGCAACAGCTCTGAAGGAGAGCACGATCAAATACCGCAGAGACGTGGGGCAAGAGGAGAACTGAAATATTCTCATGATAGCAACTAGTTGGCCACCGATAATTTTGCTAAGGCATGTGAGCAGAAGAGGTTTATGGTTGCATGAAGAGAGAGTGTGAGGCGAGGTGATGACAATAGTGACAAGGGAAAAAACTGACCACATGGAATAATCAGTAATGATGACAGCCTGGTTTACACCTTCTTCTGGAGCAGGGATATATACACATAGATGTTCAGCCAAAAGACCCTCTATTTTTTTGAAATAGGAAGTAGAATAAAAGTACAAATAAAAATCAGTTATCTTGGGAAGTAGGTAAGAGGATGGCTTGAATATGGAAAGTGTAGAACTTCACATTGTGCTATTTATCACTTACTTACCTACCCTAATGCAGTGTGTACGTCAACATTCCATCCACTTTTGTAAAGATCTGAATGGTTGGCTTAATGTATGGATATTTCTGATGAGCCTAAAAGAAAAGAATAAGGAACAAAATTAGAGTAAGGGCTGCCTTCCCAAACTTAAAATTAAGAGCAAAGCTGGTCTTCCCGTCTAATTGTTGGCGACAATGAAGGCAATTAGAACTTAAGAAAGATGTCTCTGACATCATTAAAAAAGTTAGAACTACACCAATGTTTTTTAAGGTGAATACAGATGGATGGATATAAAAATGAATGTTTATATGTATGTACAGGCATATGTAATTCTCTCTGCTGAGAGGCTCAAAGAGTAATGGCATTCTAGTGCTAATGGGCTTGACTTCTAAACGCCATTCTATAAGTAAACGAATGAGGAGTCCTTGGAAAAAAATTCTGATTCCTGTATATGGGCAAGGAAAGTATAAGAAAAATCTGGAACAATTCATGGTACCACAAAATCAGGACATTCTTAAAAAATTATGGAAACGTCATACGACAGAGAAATCAATTCCTGCACTGAAGTGTATCATTTGCCTTCAAAATATGTGGGGGAATTTTCTAAATCTCTTAATGCTCTTGATTTCTAAATTACTGTCACTCTAGACTATACAAATATTCTGTAAGATTCTAATATTTTGAAATGCGTCGATATTTGGGGGGGTTATTATATAGTATATTTCTTGGTTCCATTTAGAATCAAAATGAATATGACTTCTTCAGTTGATAAATGTGGTGCTTTATAAATGTCAAAGTGGATTATTTCTATTGATCTGTCATCAAGTTTACTGTCTTCCATTCTAAGAGAATCCATGAATGTTTCTTTTCACATATAATAATTTCAGATATAAATTTTCCTTTATACTTCCTATTTATCTGCCAAAATTCTCCATCTATTATTATCATCATGATTATGTTTTCCTTTATGCCTTTGAAAATCTTTATAACAGTGACTTTTTAGTCCTTGGCTGCTAATCCCAACATCTGGCTTATCTTATGTTTTGTTTCTATGGACTGCTTTTTGGGGAAGGGATGCTATCTTCCAGTTTCTTCACATGTGTGTTGATTTTGAATTGCACATGAACATTGTGAATAATGTGCTGTAAGGATTTATGATTCTGCGGTCTTCTGTCAAAAGGTTATAAGTTTTGTTTTACTAAGTAATTTTTTCACTTAGTTTAATTCTTTGTTAGAGAGGGCTCACTTAAATTTATCTTCAATCCTAAGTCTTTGTCCTGTGGTCATTATGATGTCCCTGCTAAATAACTCAGGGGTTCAGCAACGTCTCTTTACTTTCACTGAGCCAGAATGCAAACATCTCCAAGGCCTGTGCTATTTCTGGTGTGTCATTTTATGTCTTAGACCTGCAGATACTGATTTTTGACATCTTACAGAATTCCTCCCTGCTTATGAACAGCCAGCTATTTGCCATGAAGGATCCATGATAAACCTTCATGTGAACTCCTTGGCCAGCTACCTTCCAACTGGTGAAAATTCCTTCTTTCTAACATTCTGCTCTGCAAGTTCCAGCCACTTCACTTGAAAATTCAGCACTTCAAACTCCGCTTCCTAAGCTCAGTGAGACTTCAACACTCCTTTGACTCTACCATTCCTGCCCCAGGATAGGAAACATGCTCCAGGGTTGAAAGCCTGGAAATATTTTGGGCTCAGAATATCTGTACACCATCTCTCAAGGAACACAATTCTGGACTGCCTGTTATTCAATGCATGCAGACAGGTGCCTCACACACTTTGTCCAGGTTTATATTTGTTTATAGAGGGAAGCATTTCTTCAGTCTATAACTAGGCTTTCCTAAAAAAAAAATTTTGGTGAGTAATGCTTTCTCCACATAACTACATACATATTAATATTAAATGGAGGACAGAGAATCAAATGTTTTATTAATGGGTAAATAAGAACAATGACTGTGGCTTTAGTGTCATTCAGCCTTATCAAGAAGTGTTTTATAGTAAAATGCATAGTGATAAAATATTTTTAGCCTGCTCTGGTGGAATAGTGGTTATCCTCACTTTTAAAGGTGAAAACAGAATATTTCCACATTATATTGCAATACATGCTAACTGACAATTAACAAAGCCACATTACTGAATCCATTCACTTCTCTAACTGACTCACTATATCATTAGCCACTTAATAAGTCCTCAGTAACTATTTGTTTTATTATAAGCTTATCTTATACTCAAGAATATTTTAGTTGTTCAAAATATTTAAAATTAAAACACATTAAAGTATCTAAAAGTCTAGGAAATGGTTGTAAAATGTGATTAGGAAGGGTTTTCTTTTTTCTTTTTTTTTTTTTTTTGAGATGGAGTCTTGCTCTGTGGCCCAGGCTGGAGTGCAGTGGGCACAATCTCGGCCTACTGCAACCTCTGCCTCCCAGGTTCAAGCGATTCTCCTGCCTCAGCCTCCTGACTAGGTGGGATTACAGGTATGTGCCACCATGCCCGGCTAATTTCTGTATTTTCCATAGAGATGGGGTTTCACTGTGTTGGTCAGGCTGGTCTCGAACTCCTGACCTCGTGATCCACCCTTCTTGCCTCCCAAAGTGCTGAGATTACAGGCGTGAGCCACCAGGCCTGGAGATTGGAAAGGATTTTCTAAGCACAATATCAAAGATTGGAGATGTAAAGGTAAAGGTCAATATTCTTCACTCTATCACTGTCTAATTAAAAATGATGCATTGTCAAGTGTACATTAAAATGTTAAATGACAAATGGTAAGCTTGAAAAAACAGCAAAATATGTAAAAGAAAAATGTATATTCTTAATATATATCAAGTTCTTACATATAATTTGAAGAAAAAAACTGGTAATAGAGAAATGTGCTATAAACCAAAAAGGAAATATATAAACACAGAAACATGTATGTTAGGGACCTGAAAAACCATTCAAACTTACTCCTAATAAGAAATATACACTGACCTCAAAATTTATACTTTTCACTTAGGAATCTGAAAAAGATTATGCTATATTATAATATTATGTGTTTCTAAGAGTACTGAGAAATGAGCATTTTATGTACTACAGTTCATAAGTGTGTGTGTATATGGGTGTGTATACATATATATATATGTATGGTTCTATGGTATTCATCATATATATAGTGTATACATATATATGTATGTATACACACACATAAACACACACACAGACAGAGAGAGAGAAGAAAAATTATCACAGTATAAATTATGATGGTAAAAATTTGGAAGCTACTAAATATCCAACAGTAGGTGTGACTAAAGTGGCTTATGACACATCCATATTATCAAAAGCTGTGTAGTAATTCCAAATACAATGAAAACTATTCTGTGTGACAGGAGAAAATTTCATGACATATTTTAATAAAAAAAGTGGAAACAAAATTTTATAGACAAAAAATTGGGGATGATTGGTCTAACTGCTGTCATAATCATACACATATGTCTAGTGGTAATTTCTAGACAGTAGGGGGATTTTTCTTCATTTTGGTCCTCTTAATTTTTATGGCATTGAATATGTATTACCACTGTATAACATTATTTAAAATATATATACAGATGGTCTTGACTTACGATGGCTTGACTTACAATTTTTCTACTCTATGATGATGCAAAAAAAAAAAATGCCTTCGGTAGAAACCATACTTAGAGTTTTGGATTTTAGTCTTTTCCCAGACTAGTAGTAGGATACTCTCTTTTAATGCTGGGCAGCTGCTGTGAGCCACACATTCCAGTCAATCACGCGATCAGGAGGGTGAACAACTAATACTTGGCATCTTTCTAAAGGATGCTATACCTGCTAAACCATCAACAAGTGTTGATGCCCCCATGCCTTCTACGAAGGATTCTTGAACTTTATCAGAACAGACAGAAATTGATGACTCTGTTGTTGTAGCGCCCCCACCATCCAGCAATTAATTTTAGCCCAATGCTTCAATCATTCTTCAGGCCCAATGTGCTTTCAACTGTGTACATTAATGGTGAGTACCCATACACCTATTCTGTTTTTCTTTTTCAGTATTCAATGAATTACATAAGATGTTCAAAACTTTAGCATAAAACAGGTTTTATGTTAGATGATTTTGCCCAACTGTATGCTAATATAAGTGTTCTGAGCACATTTAAGATAGGTTAGGCTAAGCTATGATGTTTGGTATATTAGGTGTATTAAATGCCTTTTCAACTTACAACATTTTCAATGTATGTTGAGTTTATCAGGATGTAAGAACTCCCCTTGTAAGTCAAGGAGCTTATTTATATATGTGTGTATCGATGTATACACACACACACACTCACATGCACACACAAAAGTTTGTAAAATTTAGATCTAAAATGGTAATACATATTTTGGAAATTTATTTTAATTCTTTCAGTATCTGAATTCTATATTGCAGACTTTTTTTTTTTGAGATGGAATCTCACTCTCTTGCCTAGACTGGAATACAGTGGCGTGATCTCGGCTCACTGCAACCTCTGCCTCCTGGTTTCAAGCAATTCTCCTGCCTCAGCCTCCCAAGTAACTGGAATTACAGGTGCTTGCCACCACATCTGGCTAACTTTTTTGTATTTTAAGTAGAGATGGGGTTTCACCATGTTGGCCAAGCTGGTCTCGAACTCCCGGCCTCAAGTGATCCACCTGCCTCAGTCTCCCAAATTGCTGGGATTACAGGCCTGAGCCACCACGCCTGGTTTACTTTTGTTGCTTAGGATGGAATCTTTTATTTGTCTTTCCTTCCTGGAGCTTCCTACTGGCATCTGCACTAATATTCCCGAACAAAAGCTCAATGAGTATGATGGTCTATAAAAGAGTGCATTACAACTGTTCCTGGGGGAGTGTGTGTGTTGCATGTGTATGCATGTGTGTGTATGTGGAGGGGAGCTTATAAGTGCTGGGAAAATAGGGGTCATTACTGACTTCCCCAATTCTGCCAAATTTGATGCATGTGTTTGAAATATTTTTAGGAACTTTTACTGTAGGCAGTTTTGTGGGGAGACATCCCAAAGCAGGGAGTGAAATGGGAAAAAGCAGACAGTCCTCTTAATGATCAATCAGCTTGCTTCTAGGAGCCAAAAGACACGTGGGGATTGGCAAGCCTCATTTTACAGAGACTCTGCATGCTTCAGCTTTGCCTGCTGTGCATTGAATAAAGTGGTGGCGGGTACTATGAAATCTATCCCAGCACCTTGTGTTGGCAGCCACTTGCCAAGTAAATTCAAGAGCTAACAGCTGCCTTGGAGCAACAGTGTGGCTGCCACCTCCCCAGACCAAAGCGCAAAACTGGAACCCATCATGCTTCTGTTTCAGTGAGCAGAAGGGTCTGAATCAGGGGAGGTCTGTCCAGAGTCAGAAAATATTTGCCAGCTGAGAAACTGGATCATTACTCTTAAAGCTTCCTTTCTAGTACATTAAAATCTTTGGAGGTTACCTCCGTGGGATCTGAACACTGCCAAGCAAAATTTGAATTAGGCACAGAGAGAGGGAAAACTCAAATGTTTTATTTTGCTTCTAGGCAAACATATGCCTATTTAAAACTTGGTTTCTTCTGTGTATTTATTTTAAAGGATGTTGTGAATTTGATTACTTTTCAAAGGAGAATGAGTTCCAGTTCTTGCTCCACACCAGTATTTTGCCACATTTTGGATAAGAAAGTATCACATTTGCAGACTAACAGCCCTTCAGTGTGAAGGTCATTAGAATAAACAGTATCACAGGCAGCACTTTTCTGCATGAGCAATGAGACACTCATTTCTGTGCTACCAACTTACACTCAGCCTAACTGGGTAAGAACTCCATCTTCTCAGCTCAATCCCAAAGGGAACCCCTGTCCCTTCACCCAGAAGAATTCCCAACCTCAGGGCAAATTTTGAGAAGGAGTTTGCTATTCATTGAATTACTTCCCCTCTCTTTGGTACTTGGGGTGAGCTCGAAGAGGTTCATAAATTTTACCTCTTCTGATGGACTACTAATTCTCCAGCTACCGTGGGAAGAGTTCAAGATTTATGGGAATGAAACTCTAGCAGATACTTTTCTGCAGAATAGTCTGGGGCTTTAGTTAAATCATTGCAGGTTTAGAGAATCAGAGGTGAGGCTTTTCAGAATTCCAAATCGTCATAGTAGGTTCTGGTTTAGCATGCCAGTCCAGGGAACGTTTGGGGGCTGGAGTTGTCTGTTCAATTTCTTGAGCTTCCTTCCATCTCTAAGATTCAGTGATATCACTGAGTAGTGCCTTGGATTTGCTGCTCTGTGCCTGGGTCTTACCTTAACCCTGGGAAATTTGGAAAAAAAAAAAAAAAAGAAAAGAAAGAAAACTGATTATGGGCTCCAGAAGATTATGTAACCAGCTGCACAGCCTGAAATTTGATTTTGTCCTTTTTCCAGATTAATTGCAGTGGTGCACGAGTCAAGCCCACCTGTCTTTGCATAAACACACAGGAAGATAAACAACAACTACAGCAGAAAAGAGTCTGACCCAAGGGTCCTCTCTGGGCACAGACTCTAAGATGAGGAGGGCTCAACAGCTCCCAAACTTCTGACTTGCTAGGAAGGTAGCCCCTGCTGCCTTGTAACTGAAATGTATTCACTCTTTTTGTCAAGTTGGTGGGATGGCTATAGCTTTGTGGCAGCTTGCACTTTGACTTTCTGGGAGAATAGCAGAGAGCTAGGTGCAACAAGGAAACTGCTATGTTTGATTAATGCACAAGATTCTGCACCATGGTTCTGCCAAAGCCTCATTTCAAGATTCCATGTTGTACATTTGCAAGGAGCAAATATTCAGTACAGCCATCCTCTTTGTAACTTGTCATACAAAAGAATCAATGAATTCTATGACTGTCAGTCAGGCTGTAAGCGAAGATAATCGCTCTCCTTTGCACCTGCTTCAGCCCCTGCCATCATTGTGTAGAAGGAAGGTCTAAATATTGTGATTTATTTGCATGGCAGTATGTCTTTTTAAAATTACTCCCTTTTACACTCATCTGAAGGCTTGGAAATTTCAACAGTGATCAGTGTAGTAAAAGCATGGAAGAACAAGACCCTCATGAAAGGTTCCTCATGGAGAGGACTTGTTTAATATTATTACACTTAGACAATGATTTTTATTCCAATATAAGTTTTTTTTCTTTTATTTTTTTGTTTTTTGTTTTTGGAGACAAAGTCTCTCTCTGTCACCCAGGCTGGAGTGCAGTGGCATAATCTTGGCTTACTGCAACCTCTGCCTCCCGGGTTCAAGCGATTCTCATGCCTCAGCCTCCTGAGTAGCTGGGACTACAGGCACGCACCACCACTCTGGCTATTTTTTGTTGTTTTTTTGTATTTTTTCATAGAGATGGGGTTTTGCCATGTTGCCCAGGCTGGTCTCCAACCCCTTGACCTTGGGCAATCTGCTCTTCTCGGCCTCCCAAAGTGCTGGGATTACAGGTGTGAGCCACTGCTCCCAGCCTATTCCCGTGTAAGTTTAAGTTTTTCTGAATGAAGGAGGGGGTTAGGCAGGATGCTGAGCTATACAAAGTCAAGAGTGAGGATGGTAGCACCATTTAGAATAATAAGGAAGTCTCTAGGAGGAGCAGAATGGGCCAGAATGGGCCAGAGTGATTCATTCTGTTTGGACATAGTATTTGAGGTTAAAAGAAAGTACATAGAAGTTGGGTTTACCTAGGTTTGGGGATCACAGACTGAGTGTGTCCACAAGACAAATGGATAATGAATTCCAGGAAACTAAGTTCATAATAGAAATGGCTAAACACAGAAAATACATAAGGGATTGGAAGTGACCAGGTCTGATTTCTTGTCTGTTAACCATTTTGAGGACCATGAGGTTTCTCTCTCTGACTTTTCTTGATAAAATTCAGAGTTCCTTTCCCAGGGCTGTTGACAGTATAACAAATTCTAAATCTGATGTCGAACATATGTTTCCAATACATACAGGATATTTGTTCAAGGGATGCAAAAGGTCTGGAGTTCTCTTCCTAGGCCATACTTTCTAAGGACTCTTTTTAGAGGCTGCCCGGTTATTTAGCTCTTGTAGTTGTGTTACTGACTTAGGTCTCTAAAATATGCAAATGTACATGCGACTCCCTCTTAGCTTCTGTTTTTGTTTTTTTGTTTTTTTTTTCTCCGAAGCCTCACTCTGTTTCCAGGCTGGAGTGCAGTGGCGCGATCTCAGCTCACGGCAACCTCCGCCTCCTGGGTTCAAGCAATTCTCCTGCCTCAGCCTCTCGAGTAGCTGGGACTACAGGTGTGTGCCACTATGCCCAGCTAATTTTTGTATTTTAGTAGAGACAGGGTTTCACCATGTTGGCCAGGATGGTCTCAATCTCTTGACTTTGTGATCCATCTGCCTCGGCCTCCCAAAGTGCTGGTATTACAGGTGTGAGCCACTATGCCTGGCCAGCTTCTGTTTTTTCTTAAATCGGGGTTCAAGAATCTCTCAATTAAACACAGTGACTAAAGAATAAATCTCAATATTCTCTTTCCAGGATGTGTGAAAACTGCCACCCTGCCCATACAGGTAACCACTCGAACTTTGATGTCTAATAGTAGAAGATATCTTTTAGGTTAAACAATGAGAATGAGATAAATGTGGCAGAATCAATGGAAGGACTTCTGTATTTCAACCTGTTACTCTGGCTGTATTTGGAGAATATCCTGGTCCAAAGTTCTTACTGGCTTCTGAGGTCGCAGCCTGTTGAGTCCAAGCCAATTCTTCTTACAAGTTCTATTACTTTATTTATTTTTATTTGCAAGCCAACTCTTGATTACAACGCAGTGCCTGACAATTGATTAATGCCAGAGGATTTTTGTGAGGATTGACCTCTTTGGCCTCTACAGGATGTAGAACTTCCTATTTATAAGTCTTCTGTGCTTTGTTCTTTGATCGGCTTATATATAGTCCTTTCTGTGAGGTGTCCCCACTGGCTAGTGGCAGCGATAAGCTGGCAAAACTCCAGCAGTTGAAATTACATTTCACAGAAGCACAGGAGATAATGTCATATAGCAAATACATACAGGGCAAATGTCACATAGCAAACACATGCTGAACCATCATAGGGAGAGTGCCTGCCCCCTCACCTGGGATTAGGAGCAAGCCAGTTTATTTGACAGAGGAAAATAGCCCATATAATTTGCATGTGCAAGTGTGTGTCTGTGTGTGTGTGTGTGAGTGTGTGTAGTTATTTAACACAGATCATTATAGGTAGACCTTTCCTACTGGCACAATTGGACAGATCAAAGAGATATAATGTGTGGGATAAATGCGGGACTTGAATTTGATATTATAAGATAAACAGATAATATAGGTGGAGAAGAGGAGAGGATAGAAGAAAAGATGAACAAAACGGAGGGGGAAAAGAGAAAGTTTTAGATGCCACAAAATACAAAGGATGTTGGAGCTCCATCTAGTAAACCAACCTACATGGGCTGGAATAGTCATCAATGAGGAGCTTGGGATCTGACAGCTGGATTGTGGAGAGACCACAGAAGGCTCTGGATTCTTACAAAAGGTTACCCTGCACAAGAGTGTTCTAAACAGAAGGTGATATGTGGATGAGAGGGGGCTGGTCAGTAACAACCCTGCGCCAATGAGCTGAGAGGAGTAATTGATTCAACCCTCTTCACCTGTGGTCAAAATATTTTTTCTTCATTTCCAGAGCTAGTTAAAAGAAAAATGTTAATGTATAAGTCTGTCCCAGGCATAAATGGCTGATTAAGTTTCAGTGTGTTTTACCTTGAGATCACAGTTTCCTTTTGACGCATGACAAAGGAAGCTGAAGTGCAGGATTCCCTTAGCATCTTAACTCTAAGAGGTTAGGGGATGTAAGGAAATCAAAGGCTGTGCAAAACCAGGGAAGGTGATATGATGGGCCTTGGAGGACTTAAGGGACATGAGCTCAAGTTTGAATCACAAGAGAGATTTCTATTCCATTTTCTCATGTTGCAAAACAAGAGATTTCTACTCCATTTTCTCATGTTGCAAAACTGGTTTGTATTCAATGCAAATAATTTATAAAGTACAACAACAAAATGGTACTAACCTATAACCTCACCATTCAACAGGCTTCTTCAAATCTTTCTTGTAGGCCAGAATTTCCAAAAGTGAGTTACATTAATTTAATATCCTGTGAAATTTAAGTAAGTGCTATGGATTAAAAGATGCTATAGATGCTGGACCCGGTAGCACAAGCCTGTAATTACAGTGCTTTGGGAGGCCGAGGCAGGCAGATCACTTGATGCCAAGGGTTCAAGACCAGCCTGGCCAACATGGTGATACTTCATCTCTACTGAAAATACAAAATTCTCAGGGTGTGTTGGCTTGCACCTGTAATCCCAGCTACTCGGGAGCCTGAGGCAGGAGAAATGCTTGAAACCGGGAGGCAGAGATTGCAGTGAACCTATATCATGCCACTGCACTCCAGCCTGGGAGACAGAGCGAGACTCCATCTCAAAAAAAAAAAAAAAAAAGGTATAGAAATAAAAAGTTAAGTGGAGGCTGGGCGCTGTGGCTCATGCCTGTAATCCCAACACTTTGGGAGGCCAAAGCAGGTGGATCACTTGAGGTCAGGAATTGGAGACCAGCCTGGGCAACATGGTGAAACCCCATCTCTACTAAAAATACAGAAAATTAGGCGGGCATGGTGGCTGGTGCCTGTAATCCCAGCTACTCCAGAGGCTGAGGCAGGAGAATCGCTTGAACCTGGGAGATGGAGGTTGGAGTGATCTGAGGTCGTACCATTGCACTCCAGCCTGGGCAACATGAGTGTAACTCCGAAAAAAAAAAAAAAGTTAAATGGAGCATTAAGTTTAGAAAATGCTAGGTTAAACAAATAGATTCTAAATATGTTAATGTATTTTTAATTTCCCAAATGTAAATCAAATATCTGTGATATTTTAACCTGCCAATTAATGAGAAAAGAAAGTATTCTATATATAAGTGTATCCTCCTCAAATGCAAAATGAAATTTGTTTTCATAAAGTAGCAATGTGTTTATCAGAAATATATCTGCATATTTCTAGATTCTTTTATACACCTTCTCTTGATTGCCCGTAATATGAACTCAAGAGAGTACAGGACATCAGAATGTCAAGAGACTTGTCCCAGGATTGCACAGGTTTCAGGTACAAGTCATAGAACAAAATCTGAGAACCCCAAGCTATAGGCAATAATCAATTTCATAGACAAAGTATTTACTATGAAAATAGGAGCTCTAAAATAAGTTAAATTAAGGTGGGAAGCATGAATGGTATGAAGTAAGATTTTAGTCTCTTCTCTTTAGTCTTTACTTGTATTCTTCTATTCCACTTGTAAGATTGTGTGTGTGTATGTGTGTGTGTGATATGTGTGTGTGTGTGTGTGTGTATAATTATATAATTCCATAGTAGATACAGAAACCCTTAAAGCAAAAGGAAGGATGGAAAGAAGGAAGGAGGGAAGAAAGGGTGGGAGGTAGGGAAGAACAGAAGGAAAGAAAGGGGGTTGGGAGGGAGGCAGAAAGGGAGGGAGGGAGGTAAAGAAAAAAAGAAAGAAGGAGAAGAAAATATTCTACAGCTGTGAGCAGGAGAACACAGGAGGTAATTCCTGATGAAGTATAAACTGAACAGCTTTGGCTGTCTTACACACTCTAGTGAACATTGCATACTAAATAGCCCTTTACACACTCCCCAAGATTCCTGTGGCTTTGAATTCTAATCGGGCCTGAACAGGGTTTTCTGGACACAAGCCTAACCCTGCTGATATTCCAGCATTTGGATTTACCTCTTCATTTGGAGCAAGGACAAACAAAAAAATCACCTAATCTCCATCCCCCAAGTATCATAATTTGAATTTCTGTAGAATGGCTTGAGTATTGCCAATTTCATGGATCTTTCCACCATTGCTTAACTGTGGATGCTTCAATCCCCACTGAAGAGCTCCCCCACCCTCACTCTTCCAACCAGCCTGTCCTACCAACTACCAACTAAGGCAGCACAGAAAATTGGAAGAAAAACCTGTGTATGTACATCTATTTTGATTCACAGATGTATCTTAAGAAAGAAGTAACTATCCAGCATAGTGTGATGGCAGGAGCAAAAGGATGATTCACTCAATGCCCAGAGACTTCCTTCCTAAAATGTAGCCCTTGCCTGCTTGCTAAAGACATACATTTTTGAAAGAGGATTTATTCACTTGTATTTTTTAATCTCTGATACAACATAATCACCTTAAAAGCTAGTGTAGTTGAAAGGGCATATGGTATGGTGAGTGGGGGGCTTATGTTCCAGCCCTGGCTCAACTAGTAAACAACTGCCTAATCTTAAATACACCATGTATTTTTCTTTACTGAACCTCACTACATTATCATTTACAAAATACAATAATTAGACTTCAGTATATCAAACCTTGAAATTGCAGAGAAAATATTACATTTTAATCTATTATTAGTCACATCTGTTTTGTATATGAATGAGTTTCAAGTTCTTTCTTGAGAGAAGATTTAACAAGACAAGAAGAATTAGAATTTTGCTTGTTTTATGTGGAATATGGTGACAAAATTACAAGAAGCAGAAGTGAAAGAATCGCAGAGCACTAAGGCAAACTTTATAGCATCATTTTGTGTGTGCTATTGTTACAATTTATAGGAAAAAATAATACCTTTAATTTCAGCTTAGTCTAAGTTTGATTGCAAAATCTACTTTCTTACCAAACTAACCAGTCTCATTGTGCTGTGTCATGCTTTGAGGTAAGAGTGAAAGTAAGTCATTATCAATGTTCAACTTTGAAATAACATATCATCTCTTTATTATATATCTTGCCTTGTTTCACAAATGTTTAACCCAAGCCTGTCATCTAAGGAGGCATGCCAAAAAGAGTCATATTTCAACTTTTTCCTACATATAACTTCCTGATTGGAAGTCTGCCTATATATATTTAAGCTTTTTGATTCTATACCTCTGAAAATTATGGAGTCTTAAAATGTTATAGCTCAAGCCCAGCCCATTAAAATAATTCCTTCTTCAACATCCAAGACAGGTAGCCATTCCATACTGGGTAAAAAAATTCTTCCTATAATCACCCATTCTGAATTCTGGGAACTAGGGGCTCAATATTTTGCCAGGTGATCTATTCTAATTTTGGATATTTTAAGACTATTAATTCTTTCTCTCAATAATTTGAAGAGGATGTTTCAACCTTTAGGTTTGTGCATCCAATCCACTATCAGAACATATAAAGCTGTTCCCAATTTTTATCACTGTTATTTTAATATGTAGTGTCATCTGTCATGCCCAACCTCAATTTCCTTTTTTCTAGACCCACACTGTCCAATATGGTAGCCACCAACCTATATGGCTATGATGGTTAGTTTTATGTGTCAATTTAGTTAGGCTTTAGCTATCACTTATTCAATCAAACACTAATCTAGGTGTTACTGTGAAAGTATTTTGCAAATATGGTTAAGTAAGGGAGATTATCTTGGGATAATATGTTTAGGCCTCATCTAATCAGTTGAAAGGTTTGAAGAGCAGAAATGAGGTTTCCCTGGAGAAGAACAGATTGTGCTGTGGAATGCAGCTTTAACTCCTGCCCAGGAGTTTCCAAACAGCCCTTCTTTATAGGTTTTTAACTTGCCTAGCCAGCCCCCAATATAAGCCAATTCCTTGCAGTAAAGCTCTAGATAGATACATAGATACATACATACATACATACATATATAGATGGATAGATACATAGATAGATGCATAGGTATATAGATACATGCATACATACATACATAGATACATACATACGTAGGTGGATAGATAGATATAGATAGATAGGTGATAGATAGATAGTGAGCTACATATCCTACTGTATTGTTTCTCTGGTGAAACTCTTGAGTTATATAGTGGTTATTTCCATGTAAATGTAAATAAAATAAAATTAAATAAGATTTAAAAGTTACGGTGGCCATATTTCAAGAATTCAATACCCACTTGATACTAATGGCTACAATGCTGAACACCACAGAAGATTTTCATTATAGCAGAAAACTCTAACACAAAGCACTTTTCTAAAGCAAGCCTTTCCAGTGTCTTCCATCATTTCTTATTAAACATACTGATACAGCATCACATCACTTTTTCTTGAATATTCACTAATATTTTAATATCCCTGTTAAGATATGATACTGAAAATGGAATATTATATTCTCCAAAGGAAACATTAGAGTCTCAGGATATGAAGGAATTACCATCCCTTAAACTGGATATTATTGAAATAGTTCCCAAAGCTATCTAGCTCTGAATAGTCATGCTGGTTATTCCATCTATTTTGACAATTTTTTTCCACATTTCCTTCTTTCTTGTCAGTAAATAATTTTATTGTATTAATAAAACTAATCAGTAGAGAGGAGATGGAGGAGACATAATCTAACCTAAGCATTTTCAATGGTGACAGATTTTTTATTGAAAAGATTGAATTACTAATAAATAGAAAATATGAATAATAATATAGGAGTAGGAGAGGAGAGAGTGAGAATTAAGAGAGACATTGAGGAGTGTAGAAGGGAAATTAGAAATAAGAATAAGCCTAAGAGGGAAAAGGAATAGAGACTTCTAAGCAGGTGAAGACTCAAAGAGGTTTAGCAAGACAGGTATGAGAAAATATGACTTTAGGAAGTACTTTATTTGAAATGAATCCCCTCCAATGTTTAAATGCAAAGGTACAAGAGAGGACTGGGCTTCCTTTAAATCACTTTTAATTGCTTGATGATTTTTATTTTTAAAATTTACTTTCCAATGAAGTATTGCCCTGTGCATGAATTATGAAGGTCCAGAAATTATTCTGTATTGATTATATTTCTATTAATTTGGCCTTAGATTATAGCTGAATTTATTACAGTTGCATCTCTTTGCTGGTTTATATTCAGTTTACATCAATAAAAGCTGTTAAATACTTTTGACGTGAATGCTATTAAGTCTGGTCACTCCTACCTTTAGGTAACTGATTGGTAATGTATATGTTGAAATTTAAATTTCTTGCTAAATTTGCTTCTGTGAATTTTGTCCTGTAATACTGGTGTGTTAGAAATTTTTCAGAATTTTCTCTGATGGCTTATATTTTAGCTCTCACAATTAGAATGCCTTTAGCTCCAGGTACCAACTACCTCTGTAAAACTTACTAAAATAAGGAAACTTAGTTCATTAAGGTAGAGATTGAGTGAGCTTCAAAATTTATTGATGCAGGACTTTAACACTGTCATCAGAGTTTCAGGTTTGTTCTTCCTCTCTGATGTGCTTCCTACAGATTAGTCATGAAATAATGTACTCTCATGATTCTATGGCAGCTGCCAAGTAAAATCAGAGCTACTGCTTTCTTGATCACATACAGGAAGGCAAGAGAAGCTTTCTATGGCTCTCCTTTAGAAGTTAAAGATTTTCCTAGAAGCTTCCAGCAAATCTCATCCAATGTCTCACTGATCAGATTAGGATGATGTGCCCATTTTGGAACATCTCTGGCAAAGAAATAGAATCTTTCTTAGACTAATTATATCCACATCTGTAGGCAAGAATAGAGTCACCATTCTTTGAATAAAATGGTGCCTATGTTGGGAAGAAAGAAGAGATTAATGGAGTACGAATAAATCATCAACAATTTTTACCATGATAACTTCTTCGGTTTTGTGTGATAGATAATTTTTGAATTTTATGTATTTATCCTATTTTCTTTTCTTTTCTTTTTTTTTAGATGATGTCTCACTCTGTTGCTCTGGCTGGAGTAGAGTGGCACGATCTTGGCTCACTGCAACTCTGCCTCCTGGGTTCAAGCAATTCTCTGGCTCAGCCTCCCAGGTAGCTGGGATTACAGGCAAGTGCCACCACACTTAGCTTTTTTTTTTTTTTTTGAGACCGGGTTTCATCATCTTGGCCAGGCTGGTCTTGAACTCCTGAGCTCATGATCCGCCCACCTCGGCCTCCCAAAGTGCTGGGATTATACTCGTGAGCTACCGCGCCTGGCCTATCTTATTTTCTAATAACAACGTTGATAAGGCGAGATTCAGGGGTGTCTTCAGAGATCAGTTTTCAACATGACCTCCATTTATTAACTAAAAGGCTAAGTGTTAATTGAAAAATCATTTGTAAATTATGAATTCATTAGAATTCAGTGTTTCTAAATTGCAATAATTTGTGATATGTTGTAATTTCTAGCTATTAAGGAAAGTCCAAATATTTGCTGAGCACCTACCATGTGCCAACTCCTTTTTCCATGTTGGGGATATACAGTTAACTGAATAGGCTAAAATGCCTGCTCTGAAGGAGCTTTTCATTTAATGTGGGTAAGGGGACAGTCAATAAATAAATGAAATACATTTTTAGCATATCAGATTGTGTTACATATGGAAAAAATAAAGCAAGATAGGAGAAGAGGTGTCAGGGTGTAGTGAATGATTATGATTTTAAAAAGAATGGTTAGTAAAATCCTCAGTGAGAAGAAAGCAAAGATCTGAAGGAGATAAAGAGATGTGAAGACAGAACATTCCAGGCATAGGGAACAGCAAGACAGAGAGAAGAGTTCAGTGACCAGAAAGGAGGGAAGAATAACAGAAAAGGAGGAGGTCTGAGACAGTGCAATACGGGGGTGGGAAGCAATCCTTTTGAGCTATTGTAATACGGCCCATTTTAATGATTTGGGCTTTTATCTTAATGGATATAAGAAACGTTGGAGAACATTAACTATAAAGTAATCTAAATTATGTTTTTAAAGATTTTTTTTGGCTACTGTGTTTGACAACAAGTTGTAGGAAGATGAAGGCAGAAGCTGAAAATCACCTTGAAGACCACTGTGATAATGATCATCGCTTGAAACAGAATGATGACAGCGTTCGTGTTAATAGGAGATCAGATTCTGGATACATTTCGGAGGTAGCAATCAGGATTCGCTAGCAGATTCTATGTGGACGTTAAAAAAAAGGAGTCAAGAAGCCAAGGTGACTTTTTTTTCTTTTTTTGCCTGTGAACCTAGAATGATTGAGATGCTATATGACAAAATGGGAAAGACCACAGGAAATTTAGGTTTAGAGGGAAAAGCAAAAGCGTGATTTTAGGTACACGAAGTTTGAGGTTACTATTAAACATTGCAGTAGTGGTATCTATAAGTAATAGAATATGCAAGTCTACAATTCAGAGGTGAGAGCCATAAAGATACGAACTTGAGTCATCAGAGTAGGATTGGATAAGATCACCAAATGTAGGTAAAAAGAAGTGACCCAAAATCTGACACTCTGAGCAAGCCTAATTTTAGAAGTTAAGGAAATGAAGAGGAATCAGCATAGGAGGCTGAGAAATAAGAGTCAATGAGAAGAGCAACACTGGGAGAGTTGTGTGCAGGAAGCCACGTGAAGAAAACTTTCCCAGGGGAAGGGAGTAATTAAATTGGTCAAATACCACTAAGTCAGATTGAGGACTGGAGCTCTTGTTAAGAGTAGATGGGGTGAGATATTGGGGATGGAAGTCTGACTGATGTATATGCAAGAAGAAGAATGAAAGAGGAAGAATTGTAGAAAATTTAGCCAACTCTTCTGGGCAGTTTCAGTTTATGGGAAAAGAGTAGTAGCTGAAGGGGTTGAAAAGAGAGGTATTGTTATGAAGACAGGAGAAAAATAATATGCTTCTATATTAATGAAAAGTATGCAGAGGATAGGGAGTAAATGATGATTATGAGAGAGGGGAGAATTTAGACACAGCACCGATGCCCTCTAGTTAAAAAAGAGGGGATGACATTCAGTGCACACTTATTCAAAATGTGAGAAGCTAGCACATGAGTCATTTGGAGACGCCATAGTGGGATTAGAAACAGTCACAGGTAAGTATCTTGTGTTCAACACATATAGGCCCTTCACAGATCAATGGTGGTTAGATATTATAATATATTTTATCCCCTTCAAAAGTTAGTTTTGAACTAAAGCTACACTAACTATTACATACTTGCACATGATTATATTGCATTATACACTCATAAAAATAATTTTAGATTTTGTTAAAATTAATTTTATTATTGATTTAAGGATGATATAATCAAAAAGACCTAAGCAATACTAGGTCCATTGAAAGAGAGTGCCAAGACTGAAGCCTAGTTGGGACTTCTGAGACCTATGGGTGGATTAAAGGAGTTAAGGTTCGTGGGAGCCTCAGACCATTTATTAGTTTTCTATTGATGCATAACAAAACATAGAGGTTTAAAATCACACAGATATATTATTTTATAGTTTCCAGGGTCAGGAGTCCAAACACTTGTTAGCTGAGTCTTCTACTCATGTTTTCACCAGACTGAAATCAAGGTTCTAGCCAAGGCTGGAATTCTCATGTGAGGGTAAAGATCCTTTTCCAAGCAACAGTTAGCAGAATTCACTTCCTTGAAGCCCTGTGACTGACATCCCTGTTTTCTTGCTCTTTCTTAGCCAGAGGCTTCTCTCAGCTCCTGAAGCCACCCACTATGTCATGCCACACGGACCCCAGAGGTAGTTTAAAGCATGGCTATTTGTTTTCTTCCAGGCTAACAGGAACACGTTTTCCTGACATATCATTTTCTTTAAAAAAATTGTATTCTTTAAATTTTGTGGATACACAGTAGATGTATACATTTATGAGGTACATGAGATGTTTTGATACAGGCATGCAATGTGAAATAATCACATCATGGAGAATGGGGTATCCATCCCCTCAAGCATCTATCCTTTGTGTTACGAACAATCCAATTACACTCTTTCAGTTATTTAAAAATGTACAATTAAGTTATTATTGACTATAGCCTCCATGTTGTGCCATCAAACAGTATGCATTATTCATTCTTTCTATATTTTGAATGCATTAACCATCCCCACCTCCCCTCACCCCTCACCAGTTCCCCCACTACCCTTCGCAGCCTCTGGTAACCATCCATCTACTCCACATCACCTTCTTTCAAAGGGCCTTCTGATCAGGTCAGTCTCACCCAGAATAATCTCTTTGAATTAACTCAAGTCACCTGATTAGTAGCAAATCACAGGAGTAATATCCTGTCATAGTCATTGGTTCCTCACTCACTCAAGGGGAGAGGATTCCACAAGGTATGTACAAAAGGGATGAGAATTTTAGGGCTATCTTAGAATCCTGCCCACTGCAGGCATTAAATTTCTAAACAGAAACAGATGTAAGCTCCCCTCACCACACTTGGTTTTGGATATTACTGAAAGGGAAGGGAATTGAAGATAGAGCTTTGGGAACAGTATTATGTGGTGGGCAAGTCTTTAGTTATAGAAAGAGACTTATTGTCTGATGATGGCCTATAGGCCTCTGAAAGGAGAAACTGCTGTTCTTTGTAATTATCGTTCTATTCTCAGTCATCCACAGACCTCAACTTCATTATGTAATCAAAATGTTGCACTTAGATGCAACTGATGCAATATTTCACTTTAATATTTGTTGGTTTGGTTTGTGATTTTGCATGGCAATAGGAGTAGAGATTAATAAGCTTTCATTTATAAATGTATCGTGCCAGGGTCTTAGAAGGACAGGTGGGAAGGACTGGTGCTTAGAATGGTATTAGGTAGAAAGTCAGAAAGCCACTCTTCAGATTCCTAGAGAGTGAACCAGGAAAGAGGAAGCTAGCTAAGCCAGGAAGTCTATCTATATGGTAAGAGGAGAGGATGCCAGGTCAGAATGATGGCAGGATGGGGAAGCAAACGCAATTATTTTCCATTGTGTTCTCATAGAACCTCAGTCAGAGAGTTCAACATTTCCAAATTTGCACGTAGTATCTGGCTGCACATCAACGATAACCACAAACATAGAAATATCATATGCACCTTATGATTAAGTATACCTCAGAATGGGCAAAGAAATTTCCATTTGAACTCTACAATACCTAGGGCTGTAAAAGCATAGGATTACTTGGGAAGTGAAAAATGTTCACGTATCTATGGCTCTGTTTGTAACAAAGACAATTATTAACTTTTCAGAAATGTTGCAAACTCAAACTGGTTGTTAAACAGTCATTTTTAAAACTTAAGTTATATAAGCTTACAATAAAATAATTTATATTAAAGTCAAAGATAATAAATGTTTGAAACTCATTACTTCCTAATTATTTCATTACATTTTATTATTACCTATGGTGTTGAGTTTATTTATGTCTGTTGTATCTCTAGAATGGAAATACTATATGACAGTGCATTACTGTGCATCTCATCCCGACTCTACTTGGTAATGTCACATTGGTGGCTTGATCTTGGCCATGGAGTATTTCCAACTCTGAAATCAACAAACACAACAAATAGGAAGTTGTCTTAGTGGAAGCTGAAAAAGGTTTCAGTTTAACCAATATAATTATATAAGGGTTAGAAATTGTTTAACAGTACAGCACATCAAATGTAATGACCATACATTTTTTGGGAAATTGCTAGTAGATTGGGAAGAAACTCTATTTGTCAAATCAGAGTTGAACTGCAACCGTAGCTTGGCTTCAAATGCAAAATTCTAATAGAGATCAATAAAGGCATTCTTCAGGAATCAATGGCTATATGACCTATAGCTTAAAAATTATTATATAATTTTATATTATTTGTAAATGTGTTATACATCCTTCATGTCAGTAAAACCGATAATAAATGTGTATGCATATATGTATACATACAACTCTATCTATGTACATAGATGTGTATTCATTTCTGAACCCCCTTGGGAATCAGATTGTTTAACGTTTCCCAGGACACCAGTGGCTCTAGGCCAAAGATACAACTCAGTGTGTTTGATGGTGGTGCCCACTAGACAACAGCCGGGCATAAAACACATGGGTTCAGGTCCTGGCTTAGCCACTGATGTGTGAGATTTGGAAAGTCACTTCACTTCCTAGTTTCAGGTTTCCCTTCTGCAAAATAAATATAGCAGTTTCTGATACAACTGCCTGACAGGATTAATGTGGGAAACAGGTAAAGTAATGGATGTAAATTTCCTTTGAAAAATTGTGGTGGACAGGATTACCAAAGTCTTTGCCCTCATGGAATTTATATCTCTGTGCATTCGGTGAAGATTCCTGGGGCATGTCAACTGGACACAATCTCAGAGATCACCTGGCCCAAGTCCTTCACTTTACAAATAATGAGAGAAGACCTCAGAATTGAACTACTGAGTTTTTGTGAGTATTGTCATGAGGTGTTGATATGGTTTGGCTGTGTCCCCACCCAAATCTCATTTTGAACTGTACCTCCCATAATTCCCACATGCTGTAGGAGGGACCCGGTAGGAGATAATTGAATCATGGGGGCAGATTCCAACATGCTGTTCTCATGGTAGTGAATAAAGTCTCATGAGATCCGATGGTTTTATAAGGGGAAACCCATTTCACTTGATTCTCATTCTCTCTTGCCTGCCACCATGTAACATGTGCCTTTCACCTTCTGCATAATTGTGAGGCCTTCCCACCCATGTGGAACTGTGAATTAAACTTTCCTTTATAAATTACCGAGTCTTGGGTATGTCTTTATTAGCAGAATGAGAACAGACTAATACAGGTATGTATATATCTAATATGGCATTTTTCCATTCTTAGCCTGAGTAATTTCCAGGGCCAATTCAATAATATAGGAAAAATAGGGGAAAATAGCATATTTCATCATATTATTCAACATATATACCAAGCAATTGTAGCCCGATGCATCACAGGCTGGGTGATCTGTTCAGCCAGGAGAACATTTAAGGAATAATTCCACTAACAAATCTTCTTGAAAATTAGGGAATAGGGTTGCTCTTTCAGGATCCTTGACATAGAAAGATTTACTATTTAGATTATAAGAAATAATGTGCAGAAAAGTTATTTGATTCAAAGTAAATATCTCTACCCAACTTCAGTCTGAATATTAAAATCCCTTTCAATATTATGATCCAGAACTCATAGTGATTTATCTTGTCTTATTTGAAAGATTTCTTCATTCTTTGCCTTTGCCTTGTAAAAGCCTATACTCATTTATAGTTTCTCAAGTAGACATCAATTCTTAGGTATACAATAATTCAGTGCATTCCTGATAGGGAAGAAGTCTCCATCGACCAGCCGATGTACATTGTGTGGTCTTGTACCAGATATGTCCTGAATTTTGCTGCAATCTCTTTAAACATCCAGACTATAAGTCTAATCGATCTAAATGAAAAATAGACACATGGATCTATACCTCAAAAGCCTGTGTTATCTCCTGGTAAGCACTGACTGATGGAGTGAATTACATATGTGCAAATATGAATCAGGTAACTGATGATGTTGAAGAACTTACTGTTTTTTCATGATCCCTTTCAGCTGTTAGGCAAAAACTGAATTCTTACTGGGGACTTCCTTCTCCACAAAGCAGTGAGCTCTTCTGATGTTTATTCTAGTAGGTGAAACTGTCTATCTGTCTGTCTGTCTGTAGTCATAAATTCTGTTAGGTATTATTAAAAGGTGATTTTCATAAGATGTCCCATGTTTTAAAGAAGGGTTGCAGCACAATCTTCCCGACATGAAAACCAGATATAGTGTAATTTCCCACTTATTTTCTTTAGCCTGTTTGGAGCTAAGAGTCCAGTCATTGCATTAACATGCTGGTAGCTGATTGCACTTCAGGCTTTCTCCTCTAATGATTTCAGGTAATACAGAGGTAGAAGAGAATATGATTAATGACACAGAATCATTTCAGCACTTCAGAGTTTATTAATCAAGTGTGTGATACACTAGGGCTCTAACTGGAATGCCAAATTGCAGGTGCCCATGTGCCATTTCTAAATGAATCTTAACACATGTAAATCTGCTGTATGTGAAGATGTAATTATAAAACAACTATGGAATGGCTCAGGGCCAATTTGAGGCCTGCTCATTGGCTGTCAGAATTTATTCCTGATTTATTTTGACTTTACTCACCACTGGAGTACAGGGAAAGAGCTATTCCATGTTCAAGTTCCTATAAAGCCTCTCTTTTTGTTTTTCCTTTGTAACCTAGGTCATGAGGGATGGCTGACATTCAAACCAAACCAAACCAAATGCAAAAAAAAAAAAAAAAAGCAGTGATGGCAATTGAAAATAAATCAAGAGGATATGAATATGATTAAGTAGTTTGCCTTCTTGCTGATAGAACTGGCCTGGCCATGCTCATCTCAGTAACAAAGAGTCATAAATCAATGACAGTCTTGTCATTCATGCCCAAAAGATTCCCATAAAAAAAGACCTTCCCAGGGTATTTTTCTATCAGTCTCCTAACCAAGCTATTTTTAGTTTATTTAATTCTGTGGTAATCAAGGTAGATAAACTCAGATCCCTTGTTATTTTATGGCCCAGAGAAGCAATTTCAAATTTCTGTTGATTTTCCCAGTTGTAGGAAGTAAAAATGTCATCCCTTGGGAAGGCCCAGGTCTTCATGAATCTGGCCTCATCCAACCTAGAGTCATTGCCCGTTTTATTTTAGGGTAAACCAAGTTAAAGAATGCTCAGACTTACAAGTAAAAACCAAGTTTCACCCTAACTTTAAAAAATATATTTGCCAGGTTTCTGAAATCAGCAAAATTTTATTTTCTCCTTTTTGTTTCAGGGGGTAGGGATGTAGCAAATTTCTATGCTAATATTTATGTTCAAAAAAAAAAAAAAGTAAAACTGAAATTCTGACCTAAGCCTAAACCTGACATTCACAATAAAACTGTCCCATCAATTCACATCATTTGCAGAACTACATTATTCATGACAACAGACTTTGATGCCTCAGCCGTGAATAGTTTTAAAACTAAAACATTAGTTGTCACCACATCATGCTCTGCCTGTAGATATACTTAGCTTCTTTGGTGAGAACTGGTTATTAGGAAAATGCATGCCTCTGTAGTTGACCGTGACGTGTCTGATCTTCCATCATATACGGAGTTCCTGCGGAGCCTTGGAATATGGGTTGATGCTCACGGTTTCAACTCCATATGTAGGTTGAGAGTGTCCAAATAGGTGACAACTTAACAAAGCAAAGGTAAAAATCATGAAAATCACCCATTTATTTACAATGTAAAAAGAGCTTGTCTTTTTAAAGACGTTAGCATCCTTCCTTTGTACCAGTCCCATTTCCTAAGAACCCCAGAAAACCATTTTCTTCTCAAGCTGTTACAAAAGGGCTTATTCCTAAGTAGGTGTCTGGAAAGTGATCTCTATCTGTACAAGTCCTTAAGCAAGAAAAAAAAAATCTAGGCCAGTTCTAAAGGATTTGCCATGTAGTTTCCATTGAACTTTCAGATACAGCCAAAGTGAGATTGAGTTTTTTCACCAGAGTATTTTCAATCCCATTTGTAAACAGATACCTGATGACTCCATAAATCCTTTAAAATAGTGGTATTCAAAATTACTTTTATTATAAATTCCTTATTGCAAAAAAATTAAGTGCATGGGTGTGTATACATCTACACACGTTTATTTGTAAGTGATATAAATGCACTGTGGAATATGTACGTTAAATAAGCTATAAAAGAAAAGTAATATAATGAGATCAAAGGTATATATAAATAGATATTTTAGTGTTTCCCTCCAGTAACATGGTATTACAGGGGCCATCAAGCATAGACCTTGGATGATTGTGCTGCACACGGAGACCACGGAACAGACTCCACTGTAGCTGATAATTTTAGGCAGATAGTGCTTCTACATTGGGAGTAAGCCAAGGCCACAGAAAGAGACACATTCCTTTCCAGTAATGTTGGGCTTGTTAATTTAAAATTCTGACTGTCATTCTCTGTATGTACTTAATTACCTGAATATACTTTTCTTTCACAGTAACTCTCTTTCCTCTGTTATTCCTCCCTCTCTTAATATTCAAACACAGATATTGAGAGACCCTTCGCTTGAAAAATCAAGCTATGTTTAGCCTCTGTAGCTCTGTACCATGAGGCTTGGGGACAGTATTTCGTTTTTGGTGGGTTTAACAATATAAATGTTCTTTTAATTCATATTGCACTCCTGTAGGAGGTGAGAAAAAGGACCTTATGCAACATCTGCCTGAGTTTCCCTGCTGAACATCACAATCAGCTGTTGTAGCAGGTCTGGAAGAACTGCTTCTGAAAGAAAGTGCTGTGAACAGTATTTCCGCAGCTCCTCAGAGACCATGGAGGTGGTATGCTCGAATCAGTGATTTTATAGCTGAATTATCCAGTTTTTCTCTTCTGTTGCTTGCTAGTGTAACTTACATTTAATCCTTTCACCATCATGTGGCCCGAGGCCAGAAAATAAAATTCAAATCAGCCAATGTGATTGCTTTACATTACCTGAACATGTTTATTCTTAGGACACTCCCGATAGGTACAAATCTCCATGCTAAATTATACACTTAATTTGACTGATGAAAATATTAAATAGAAGTAACCCCCCAAATGTGTGATGGCACTTAAACTATATTAATAAAATTTGTGCTTAATAAAACAGCCCTTCTCATAAATAAGAACTGGAAAAACCACTTTAGCAGAAATATAACTTGATGGGTTCTTCCAAATAAAAATTTCAAAACTTTAACAGAGACATCAGCTAAGTTTGAGGATAAGAAATAAAGAGAACAAAATTGCTCTAAAGAAGAAAATGAGGGCTATGTGGCTTTGCTGCTGAAAGAGAAAGGCAAAGACAGAGGAGGAAAAGGGATCCGAACACGAGGTCCAAAAGCTGAAGGTCTCTTAGAAATGGCCAAGGAGCCTGTTGTTTAACTTAAAAAAAAAAAGTTTTTTTTTAAGGAATCAACATTGTTTAAAGCAAGCCGCTCCATCTGCTAAAATCATAAAGTCTGATACAAACAAAACATTTTATGTGAATGTGTTCTGATGTAGAAGTGTGATGAAAGAATAGAAAAGGTGCTAAGTTCACATCAGGGCTAATAAGATATTAGAAGGAAAGCACAGGCAACAAAGGACATTAGGACAATCATCATGCAATTAAAATTTAGAGTTAATAGATGCTCAGGGCTCCTGGTGACCATGAAAGCAGAGGCACTGAATTTTTTTCAGAATTGTCAGTAAGGATATTAATCCTTACAAAAATTTACTGGAATTTGAGACAATGAGGGTGGTAAATCATAGAACATAAAAAGAGACTGATTGCAATAGATTTCTGGATTTCAAATGTTTGCCAATGTCCACCCAAATCAAGGCATTCAATATTCTAGCTTGTCTCATTTTAGATAGGCAATATCAATCAATTTGTTTTAAAATAAGTGCACTGCATAGGCATGTACACAAACTCAGGAACTTTTATAGTAGAGAAAGCAGAGCCGTGAGGAGATTCAAAACAATGTCATCTGAAAAGGGGTTACTGGAATCCTAGCATTAAGAAGAAATGCAGAAACAGCAAGTTAACAGACTTCAAATAGTTGAAAACCCATCATGGAAAAGAGGGAATAGATGATTTCTGTAGGTGTTAGATGGTTAGATTTTGTGTCACCACCCAAATCTCATCTTGAATTGTAATCCCCATAATCCCCATGTGTCAAGGGAGAGACCCGTTGGAGGTAATTGAATCATGGAGGGGGTTTTCCCCATGCTGTTCTCATGATAGTGAGTGAGTTCTCAGGAGATCTGATGGTTTTATTAAGGGCTCTTCCCCTTCTCATTTGGCACTTCTTCCTGCCACCCTGTGAAGAAGGTGACTTGCTTCCCCTTCACCTTCCACCATGATTGTAAGTTTCCTGAGGCCTCCCCAGCCATGCTGAATTGCCAGTCAATTAAACATCTTTCCTTTATAAATTACCCAGTCTCAGGCAGTTCTTTATAGCAGTATGAAAACGGACTAATACAGGTGTCATGCCTGAATGATGGAAATAAGATCAATATGTACAAAAAAGAGATGTCCTTTCAATATAATGAAAATTCCCTAATAGCTTTGGCTATTCCCTAGATGTAAGGAATTTTCCCAAGATGCGGTGATATAGTTGTCAATGGTGTCATTTAGGCAGACATTGAAGAATAGAGAGCTTTTCTTTGGGGATTGTTTACCATTTTTTCAAACAAAACTGGAAGCTTAATATGTAAAATTGATAAGTAGAGCTACCCACTGGAGGATCTCAGAGCTCTGCTGGTTTATCCTCCACATCTCTGCACCCTTTCTTTCTGCCATATGTCCACATGTCATGGAGGTTTCTAAGAAGGGTCAGTCAAGAGCAGTTCAAATACCACTAGTGTAGCTTTTGGTTAATCTTCTGATCTTTTCCATGGATCAACAAGTGGCAATGTCCTCTTCCTCTCCACCCTGTTTTGCTTCATCCATAACACAAGTGCTGCCAGTTTCCTGCTTCTGTGGCAAACACTGATAAGATCTGGATCTGCTCATTGAGAATCCATTAATTTTGTTCAACTTCATTCACATACTCCTCTCTTCTGGCCCCTTTCCCAATTCGATGTGAGAAAAGTGGATGCATGGGCAATTCTATTTAAATCTCTGGTGTCTTGTTGAAAGGTGTTTCAAAATGATACCACCACACATTTCCCATGTTTAAATGTGTTTTTACTTAGCTGTTTAAATTTTAGACTTTTCCAAGTGGGTTCAGAACAGCTTAATCATATAAGGTACACTATAATCCTGTGAGGCAGAAACTATTTTCTTTCCCAATTCACTGAGAAAGCAGTAGATGTTCAAGAAACTTAAGCTATCTAAAATATTATGGAATTAGTAAGTAATTATGCCTGGCCCTGAGCCTAGAATTCCTGATTTTATCTGTTAATATTTTACTGTCCTGGCAAAGCAAAACACAGTCTCTAACTTACATCTTCTTCCTTGGGCTACCTCATTTTCATTTAAACAGCCATCCTCGCTTTTGGAAAGAAAGAAAAATAAATCTTCAAGTCAGGTGTAAGTTGAGCCCTGGAATAAACATGTCAAAGCTACACAAACCACAAAGTCTGCCCTTTTGGGACTCATTGGACCATTCTTGATATGGGAAAGACAAAGGCCAATAAAGATTCAGCCTAAGATTTATTCTTCAAGCCATTTCTCTGCTTCAGAATTGGAGGCTGGTAGAATAAGTTTTGAAGAGCAAACTGCAGAGCCCACTGGAGAGGACATGTGTTCATGTGCAGAAATAATTGTTAGAATGAGACAGAGCAGATCGAAGCCCACCGTTGCTCCACAAGCATGAAGTTATGCCATCTTCTCATCGTACTTCTTCAATCTTACACCAACTCCACAGGGGAGGCTGGTATGTAAAGGGGTGTTCTGCCAGGCACCCAGAATTGATAGCAACCACTACAGGCATTTTTTTTTTTTTTTTTTGAGATGGAGTCTCGCTTTGTTACCAGGCTGGAGTGCAGTGGCGTGATCGCAGCTCACTGCAACCCTCCGACTCCCAAAACAGGCATTTTTTGTTTGTTTGTTTGTTTGAGATGGAGTCTCGCTTTGTTACCAGGCTGGAGTGCAGTGGCGTGATCGCAGCTCACTGCAACCCTCCGACTCCCACAACAGGCATCTTTTTAGAGAGGTGTCTGAATTCTCTGGGGGAAGTCAGCACAGTTGAAGAGTGTACAGAAGCAACTGTGAAAAATGAAGAGAATAACATTTGTGAGAATGCAGAAATTCTTCAATTTTCTCTCTTTTTGAACCAGAGCGACAAATTTGAACAGATTGATGCACAAATAAATGTTTTGCTGTTAATTCACACCCAGGCTCTATGTTAAGATGTGTATAGTGGAGAAGTAGGTGAGTCTAAATTCATTTCTGCTCTTTTTGATGGGCTCATCTACCAAAATAAGATCTCTACTGACCTCATCCTCACTTCCATTTTCAGGTACTCAGAAGATTCATGTTTGTAAAAACAGAAGTGAGCCCCTCCTGGGAAAATAACCTTTTAAAAAGAATGGATCGTATTAACTCTTGGCTGACACTTCCTTAAGTTTTTTTAGAGCCAGGGAAACCACTTTTAAAATTCAAATTATATTATCCTAAGGTTCTGAAGCCTCTTATAAGCTATTAATCTGATTGACTTGAATCTTCTACTTGGCCTCGGTTATCTAGGTAGCTGTGAGCTTCATGATCCAATCTCAGATATTACAGTGGATGGGGTATAAGTTGTGTGTGTGCTGACAACGCATTGATTTTTGAAAGAAATACCTTTTAAGAGAAGGAAAAGTTAATGCAACATTTTACCAAATGAAAGTTAATCTCTCCTAAAAAGTGGTTAGAAAATGAAAGTAGATTCAAGATGCTTTGGTTCAATGGTTTTCAAACTGTTTTTCTCATAGTTCTAAGTTTCCTTGAAAATGCCTTTGGGACATCTTGAGATGTAAAGAAAGGGGTTAAGAAGTCAGGAATTTGTATCCTATTTCAAAACAAATAAATTCTATTTTTACCTGTCTATAGATTTGAGTCTTTTTGAAATATTTCAATGGGCAAGAAAGTTTCAAAGTTTAAAAAAGTTAGAAAAGCACCAATATGCCTAAATTCCTCAATGATAACTGCATAAAGGACAAAGGGAATGTAACTCATTCTCTTTGTCATCATTGCCTCTCTGATGCAAAACCTTTAATAGCTCTGTAGTGCCTAATTAATTAGGGTCAAGTTCCTAATTAAAGTATTAAAGCTCTGCATTAATTTGTTGACTTTATCGACCATATTCCCTTATCCTATGTTCCAACTAGTTGGACTCTGTTCCAAGACAAGTATCTCTCTTACCCACATTCCTGCCTTTACTAATACTATTTCCTCAGCTTGTAACAGTTCCCAGGTAACCTGTCTCTTACGGGTCAATGTCTTGCTCTTCATTTACTCCCAGTCGGTATGGCACCTTTCTTTATCACACCTGTCTGCATCTTTCAGCAAGCTACATTCCATCCTCCCACTGAACATCTCAGCACTTTTGACATCTTCGATGATACCTCATATTCTGTCTTTTTAATGTTTTCTCCTACTTGTTCTATTTTTTTTTTTTTTACTTTTTGGGCACTCATTTGTAAAGAAAGAATGTTAGTTTCTGCTTCACTGTGTGTCTTCCAGAGCCTCACACACAGTTGGCGCTCAGCCAATTTAGGTTGAAATTAAAAGACAATATTGGCCTCAGTAGTCATGTGGGTTTGAATTGGTCTTTTATCATTGAGAAAATTTAATATTTCCAGATTATGAAGCCACTTATCAGTCTTCTTAATAGGATAAATGTTCTCTTTCTGCATTCAGTGGAATTGCAATTCTACTCATAGAGGAAGCAGAAATAATCATTATCTATAAATATGCACTTATCTCCTACTATTCTAAGCAACCTTCACTGTTCCGAACACACTGGCCTCATTGCTAATTCGTGAACACAAACATACAGAATTTATTTTTTCCTCGGGGTCTTTGCAATTTTCCTCTCTGCGTGGCTTGTTGTTTACCCTCAGTTCAGCTAAAGCACTGCCCTCACAAGGCAGCCTCAAAGAGGCCTTTTCTAACCCCTTATCTTAAAGGGCACTTCATTATACTCTATCCCCATTACCCTGGTTTATTTTACTTAACATCATGTAATATCATACTTTATATTGATTGGTCTATCTAGCTAGAACTTAAGTTCTGTGAAGGCAGGAACTCAGTCTTGTTCACTGACATAACTCCAGCTCTGAAATAATACCTGGCATAAAAGAAGGACTCGGTATATATTTATTAAGTAAATGAAGATCTAAAGAAATTAAGACATGAAGGCCATCAGAGGGACAGTGTGTGATTTCTCAGAAAGAACACTGGATTGCAAAGTAGATTTCTGAAATACACTGCCTGCTCTACTCTTAACCAAAAAGTGAACTGAGTTTATCACGTAATGCTCTAATTTCAATTTTTTTGTTCTTTCTTTACTAATTGATACTTGACTAAGAAGGCAAAATTTTTAAAATCAAACTTTCTATGATTTTTTTTGTTTGTTTGTTTGTTTTGTGATGGAGCCTTGCTCTGTTGTCCAGGCTGGAATGCAGTGACATGATCTCGGCTTACTGCAACCTCTGCCTCCTGGGTTCAAGCGATTCTCCTACCTCAGGCTCCCGAGTAGCTGGGACTACAGGCGTGCCACCACACCCAGCTCATTTTTTGTATTTTTAGTAGAGACAGGGTTTCACCATGTTGGCCAGGCTGGTCTTGAACTCCTGACCTCACGTAATCTGCCCGCCTTGGCCTTTCAGTGATTTTTAAACCAGTTGCTTCTTCTTCTGTTAGATTCATGGAATCTCCTTATACAATGAAGACTTGTAGGCTGCCGGCACACACCAGGGGAAGTCAGCTTTCAGAAAGAATTGTGACATAGACAAGAAGTGACCAGAATTCACCCTGGAGCTGTTGATATGTGTAAGGCAGCTTAATGAAATGACAGCTCTTGTTTTGTAAAGCAGCTAATGGACTTGACAACAATCACAGTTTTCATGCAAGGGCAGTAGCAACCCAAATAATGAGTCTTAACTCACTCACCAGGACTGTCATATCCTCAAAATGCATTTGTTAGGAGCTGTACTGGGCCAAATGCTTGATAAATTCAATAATCTTTTAACCAAGTGCCAGCTTACTTAGTGAGGCACTAAGTACTTCGTGGGCACTAAGCAGTGCCCAGTTTATGATCTCGTTGGATTATATTAGTTGTACTTAAGCAATTAGACATTGGGAAATTGTTCTAAAAAAGTGAGACAGAATGGGAAAATAGAACTAATTGGCTGCTTTTCTAGACTTAAATGGAGAAACAAACCTGAGATGCAAAGCTAATTACAAAATTCATTTAAGTGTAACAAATGAAGGCCTGAAAGACTAAACTATTAATTAAGGGCAAGAACATTAAAATGAAAAAGATGACCATTTAGCCTTAATCCAGTGATGCATGTCTCTTGCCAAGTAAGTTGGCAATAGGATTTGGGGATGGAGACCTTGCTAGACCTCTCAGGTACTAACATAAGACTAGAGCAGGAGGCATGAAGCCAAGAGTCCAACTTTCAGTGGCTTCTTGACTTCTTGGCTGGTTCTCAGCATCAGGAATTTCTGGCTGTGCAAGTTACTACTGGCCCATAGGTGAAGGACTTATAAAAAAGCAGACATCAAGCAAGGCAGAATTAAATACAAACTGGAATCAAGACTCTGAGCTGAAACTCTCCATTGTTAGGCTTCCTGAGCATCATTCCTAGTCAGGACCACTTCAAGGTACAGTTTTCTAAATAAGGCAACCTGTACTGCCCACCTCTCTTTCCTATGAGTGGAGACTGTTGCTCAGGCATATATTTTTCTGCTGCTTTGTATTTCATCTTCTTGACACCCACAGATATCACACATTTTCTAAGAAGCACAGAGTTGCATTCTATGATGTCTTAACTACCCTCCTACAACAACTGACTACTCTTTCACTCTTTTCCTACAATATAAGCTCACGGTGATTACGTACCCTTCTACCATTTTGCTTAAGGGATTGCTCTTTGTTAGGTGATGGTAAGAAATTAATATGCAGATATCAGTCCTTGTAATCTGTGGTTAATATGTCATCTTTCCAAAAAGACACAAAATCTTAATACAAATAACATCAAACACATATTGAACTTTGTAACAAGAGGGAAATTTGAAGACTATTGGTTCTAGAAACTCTTTTATCAATGAGGAGCCTGAAGCCCAAGAACCTGGCTATTCTGACCTTTGTGAGACAGTGTTGTTTCCAGTAATCCATAATGATACCTTCCTAAGACATCATGTTATAATATTAGACTTTTAAAGTATTAGATTTTTAGACTTCCTGGTAGGTTTGAGGGAATAACAAGCATTTTAGTGCCCCATAGGTCACAACTGTATGGCTCTGTTTACCTGTGGGTAAGAACAACTCTGTGGCTAGCTGACAGGAGGATAAGATATTGGCATTTATAAATGGTCGCAGGCACAGTTTTCTTAAAAATGTAATATGCCTCAAGCTACACCAGATATGTAACAGGAAAGCAACCTGCTAGAAAAAAAGATGCATGGTTTGGGGGATCAGCCAGCCCTGAGTTCTTGAACAGCAATTTACCCTCCTTTCACCTCAGTTTCTTTATTTACAGAGATAATAATACTAACATTTTAGAGATAGTGTAAGAATTAAATTAATTATTACATATACACACATCCAGACATATATGCATATTTGACAAAGATTCTGGCATGCAATAAGAAGTCAAAAAAGAAGTTAATAATTTTTAAATTTATATTAAAATACAAAGGGAGGGCTTTCTTAGTTATCGTAAAGACCAAGTTGCCTGAATTGTCACCAAGCTACAAGTACTGGTCTTTTCTTGGTCACAGGCATCAATCACAAGAAAATAATAATACTCTGCAAAAAGCAATCAAATTTGGACCTATTCCAAATATAACACTTGGAATGATGCTTGCCCCAAATTAGGTGCCCTTTCTGCTACACACACACACACACGTGCCCATGTTGAATGTTTATTTTTAAGTCCTGAAATTACGTAACCTGGAGAGAAGCATAGCATCCTGCTTCTCCCCAACTACCTGCAAGGCTTACCTGACTCCAGCAGACCCTCCAGAATGATTCTGCAAGAAGCTGCCCCTCTCCCTCTCTCAGCTGCATGGCTAGCTGATCACTCTGCTGCCAGTTAGCATCTGGGAGGTTTTCTGGACACAGGCCCTCAACAGGATGACATGTTTTCATGAGGGCCAGACCTCAGGTTTAGGACAGGCCATAGTTCTCTTTGCTGTTTCTCATTCCCCACAACACAATTCTACAAGGATATATGGGTATTAATGATTTCACCCAAGGACTGGGATAATTTGGGTGAACTGCAACCAAGGAGAAAAATTGAAACTGTGTGCCTGCTATTGCTTTACCCATCATTCTGGAAAAGCAGCTAAGAAGCTGATCCCTTGCTGGGATATTCTTCTGGAGACACTCATCTTCTTAACCTCATTTCCCTCACCTTAGGGTTTGTATTATTCCATTTTCACACTGCTGAAAAAGACATACCCAAGACTAGGCAATTTAGACAAGAAAGAGGTTTAGTGGACTTACAGTTCCACATGGCTGGGGAACTTACAATCATGGCAGAAGGCAAGGGGGAGCAAGTCACGTCTTACATGGATGGCAGCAGGCAAAGAGAGAGAGCTTGCGCAGGGAAATTCCCGTTTTTAAAACCATCAGATCTCATGAGACTCATTCACTATCATGAGAACAGCAGGGGAAAGATCTGCTCCCCATGATTCCATTATCTCCCACTGGGTCCCTCCCACAACACATGGGAATTATGGGAGCTACAAGATGAGATTTGGGTGGGTACACAGAGCCAAACCATATCAGGGTTCCTTTCTCTTTCTGGGATGATTTCATTCTTCTAATCTGTACTGTGTAAATTGATACCTGTCTTCTGGGAACTCTATCCACTATCTGGAGGGTAGCAGTGGGTTCCATAGGCCTGGGCCAGTAAGTCAAGGTAGTGAACAGGAGGACATAATGCTTTTGTCAGCTTCGTCACAGCTGGTCATTGTTACCTCAAGCCTCAAGAATAGCTCAGAGGAGGACTTTGCCTTCTTAAGTAGCACAGCTATTCTATGCGTGACCCAGAAATGCTGAGTCTGAGCCTCCTTTGAGATCTCCCTCCCTGTGTGAGTTATAGGCACATAAATTCATACTCTTAATTGTCCTGTGACTAACAGTTAAATCAAATGCAAATACACACAAATACAAACATGCACAATTTCCTGTAATAAATAGTAATTATCAGTGACAGTAAAGCACAAACCAATAAAAGTAAAAAGAATATATGTCTTTCTAACTGTCTCATATGTTTCAAGATGTCTCTCTATACAATGGTTTGAATAGTTCACATACTCTTGCACAAATATTCATCTTCTGCTTTCAAATTTTACCCTATGGGGTCTTTGTGGCTTATTTCTCTTCATGACCACTACCATGGACATAAAAGTCCTGATCAAAGATTTGGAATTATTCCTCGATAGGATTCTATGAAGTTATTTACCAAAGACACTCATGTCTCTCAATTGCTATTTTGGATGGGGGTAGGATAATTTGTTCTTTTCAATTAGAGTCATATTTTTTTAAAAAGTTGGTTTCCTTTTAGAAAACTACCATTATAGGGTCTTTTTTTAAAAATTGACAAATAAAAGTTGTATATATTTATAGTGTAAAACATGATGTTTTTATGTATGTAATACACCATAAAACGGCTAAATTGAGATAATTAACATATGCATTCCCTCACATACTTATCATTTTTTCTGTGGTGAGAACACTTAAAATCTACTTTCTTAGCAATCTCCCTGGGTTGACTTTTTCTTTTAGGCTCTTCCCTAGAAAATTGCCTTTTCCAGATTTAGTTTAAACTCACACAGATCCCTAAATGAAAATCTCTTTTTTTAATGTTATTGATGTACACATTGGAATAAGCTGAAGTAGAAAATAAAACAAATAGCCTTTGCTGCACAATGGACCAAGATTTTAGACAAAGACTGAAAGGAATAAAGGGATTTTCTGGGTTCTTTAAAATTGGTCCCACAATATCTAGCCTGGTGCTCAAATGCCTTCCAAATCCCTTTTGAGTGCTTTTTAATGCCTGCTAAAATGGAGCAACAAATCAAGGCATTGTACATCTTCTTCCATGCACACATCTGTCTGGCACATAGCACCAGACATCCTAGGTACTGAGTCAGAGGTATGACAGGACAGACATCTGAACAGGTAGTAATGACAGTGAGAAAAAAAAAAGTGTAGCCTACCACTTATGTTTTAGACTTAAAACACTGATGTCTGCAGTTAACAAGATGCATGGTTGTGTAGATCAAGGGGGAGAATGCTTTCCAATTCACTTAAATATCTATTTCAACAACATACATAATTGAATTACGTATCTGATTAAATCAGAAAATGGAAAAATCTTTGGATAAACAGCACCCTGTGCTGACTACCTTAACATGAGAGCACTTACTACCTCACTGCCAGCTTTAATATGGCAATTAGTGCCGGCAAAACTCTATTTGCTTATAGACCTAATTAGAGATCAAGAGAGTGGCTCACTTTTGATAATTGCATGGCTGTGGCCCATCTATCAGCCATTGTTAAATTGTTGTTATATTAATGTGAAGCTTATAATCACTGCTGTTCCAAATTGAATAAAATGTTCTTGCCAATTCTCCAATGCAATTAATTTACATAAAAGCCTCTGGAACCAAAATTAAAATGATATACATCTTTGCAAAGCCTTCAGTTAAAACAAAGCTAAGTAATAAGGAGCTCATACATCTTTTCCTGTGCATTTTTATGTTTACTGAAGTTAATGGCCAAACAATCATTAAAATGTGCCTAAAACTAATTAAAATTGTTGTGCTCGTACCTCATTTACTATGTACTGTAATTTATTATTCAAGGCATTAATATTTTAAACTCCCTATTCCAGAGTCCAGGGAGATTCCAGTGAGTGGAACAGGAGGTCAGCATTTCCCTCTTCCTTTCAGGAATCTGCATATAAATCACATTAATCTTGCTGAGGCATTTGATTTTGGCTCAGAAAACTGATGGCATGGGTAGACTTGTCTGCTTTGTTCCTTCTGCCTAAACTAAACAAATAAAATAAAACACAGTCATGCATCCTCAGAAGAGCCTTACAAGGTTGCAAGCGAGGAATATTAAATGATAGATGCCACATATATTTCAACTTAAAGATAGGAAAACAAAAATGTGGTCTATGTTATGTGCTAGGCATCTCCTCATTAAGACTGGCAGAGGCAGATATACCGGTATGGGAAGTCTCAGGGCCATTAGAGTTTCATCATAAAGATACAACTGATGCAACCTTTTATAGCAAAGCCAGGTAAGATTATTCGGTCTGTGTGTCTGACATTAGAAGTCATATTAATAATGGAATATATTCTCTGCTAATGTTATATTATTAGTCTAGTTGTGTTACTCAATTACCAATACCCACCATTTATTAAAAGAGTACTCTGAAGTGGCGTCCCTTACATAATTTATCTAATTTAATCTATACAGCTATCGTTGTTGCCATTTTAATGTTTGATGAGAAACCAAAGCTGAGAAATATTAAGTAGCTTGTCCAAGGTCACACACTGTAGATGACAGAGAAGGAAGTTAAGTCACATGGATGTTTCTAAAGTCCATGATCTTTCTTTTGAACCCTACTGACCATTCTACATCATTTTGATTCTTCTGGGCTTGATAGGTAACTAATTTTTTCTCACACATCTCCTATACAATTCACCTTCACAGACTTTGTTTTCCATTGCTTTCTTATTATCTCTTTACCACTATATCACTGTAATACAGACTTTAAAACCAGCATCTCGGCTAGACCAAACACAAATAGAAATCTTCTGCTATTAAAATAGCTGCTAGGAACCTTAACCTGTAAAAAGCAGCATATTGGTAAATCCTTGATTGAACTTGAGTTAAGTTCTGCTTCTCAATGGACTGAGGAATGTACATTTCATACTAAAATTTTAGGTAAAAGAAAATACTGATTAATTTGGCAAAATAGAGTACAGAATGTGCATTTTTCTTGAAACCAATACCTGATTTTTGATCTTTTGAATTTCCTACTAAGTGTGTGAATGTGAACAAATCAGTCCTTCTTAGGACCTATTTTTATCATCTGTGAAAAGACGATACTGGACAGGAATTCAAAAAGCATCTTTGCAGCTCTGTTATCTATAATTTTATTTGGAAAACTTAAACCTAGACAGGGATCATAACTTGGAAATCATCAAGTTGAAAAAAGAATCATAGATGGGCTCTGGAATTTGGTTCAAAAGAAAACTGGAAACTGAAAATTTGGGGACTCATTTAAGTCATGTATTCAGTTTTTTAAAATATCTTTAAGAACAATAATTTTGCCAGAGAAAAGTTGTCTATCTGTATGTGTGTGTGTGTGTGTGTTTGTGTGTGCACACACATGTGTGTGTAATCCAAGTATATTAGATAGCTGTGGTAGAAATCGAGGTGGGGGTGGGGCTGTGGATGTGAAAGGCTATGGGAATGCCATGGTCTTAACTACCCCCTTTATCTCTTTAGGCCACACAACTTCAGTAGCTTAATTATCATAATGAGGTGGGGAGAGGGGCAACTAAAGAAATGGAAATACACAAAGCTTCTTGAGGCGTTCTCTGTATGTTTAGGTTGCCAAAAAATGAAAGAAATGAAAAGAATCATAAAAAAAATCAGGAAGAAATACATACAAGTGATATAAGAAAATAAAAGACCCAAACCTAACATGCAAAAGGTACAATGTGCATCTGCGAACAGCATGTCTATCTTTTTCTGGAGCAAAGGGTAAATAGTAGAAAGTACATTTATTTTTTATTTCTTATTTTTTTTGAGACAGAGTCTTGCTCTGTTACCCAGGCTGGAGTGCAGTGACAGGATCTCAGCTCACTGTAATCTCTGCCTCCAGGTTCAAGCAATTCTCATGCCTTAGCCTCATGCCTCGGCCTCCCATTAGTTGGGATTACAGGCACCTGCCACCACACCCGGCTAACTTTTGTATTTTTAGTAGAGATGGGGTTTCGCTAAGTTGGCCAGGTTGGTCTCAAACTCCTGCCCTCAAGTGATCCACCCACCTGGGCCTCCCAAAGTGCTGGGATTACAGGCATGAGTCACCATGCCTGGCAGAAAGTATATTTATTTATTCAACAGTTAGCTGTTGAATACTCACAATGTGCTAGACTCTATTCTAGGTTCTAGGGTATAGGAGTGGACACCACAGACAAAAACTCTTGTCATGAGTCTACTGAGTTGCCAGATACTACACAAGGTCTACAGTTTGAAATACATATTATAGGAGAAGATTATAAAAAGAAAGATAGGAACACAAAAAACGAAACAAAATGTTGGGAGAAAAGTTGACTAGGAAGGTGACTTTTGAATCAAAACCTGAGCTAATCATGTATTAATAGATGTGTGAGTGAAAATCATCCTAATCTGAATAAAAAAGAAAAAAAAGCCAATGCAGAAGCCCAAAACTGGAAGCAAGCCTGGAATAGGAGGGTAATAAGACCTGACAGTAAATGAGGGCAACAAGGATACCAGAGGCCAGTTCATGGAGGGCCTTGTGGAAGAGAGGGACTTTTACTCTGAGACCATTAGGAAGCCATCAGAGGGGCTGGGGGCGGTGGCTCACGCCTGTAATCCCAGCACTTTGGGAGGCTGAGATGGACAGACCACTTGAGGTCAGGAGTTCAAGACCAGCCTGGTCAACAAGGCGAAGCCCTGTCACTACAAAAAATACAAAATTAATTGGATGTAGTAGTGTATGTCTACAGTCGCAGCTACTCAGGAGGCTGAGGCATGAGGATTGCTTGAACCTGGGAGGCAAAGGTTGCAGTGAGCCAGGATTGCGCCACTGCACTCCATCCTGGGCAATAAAGCAAGACTTCATAAAAAAAAAAATAGGAAGCCACTGGAGGGGTGTGACCAGAAGAGGAGACTGATTAGATTTGTATTTTTAAATGATCAGCCTATCTGCTGTGTTGAGAACAGATAGAAAGAGACAAGCATAGAGTTAGGGAGATAGTTGATCCACACATGATTTTCCTTTCTTTTGCAGGTTTTTTTTGTAAGATGAAAAATAAAAGCATTTTTCTATGGTGATAAGAATCCTCTAGTCAAAGTAAGATTGGAATGAGAAGATAAAATCAATCGTGAAGATATTAAGCATTAGGCTGATAAATTCGAGTCTTGTCTCATAGGCAATAAGGAGACACTGAAGTTGAAATAATATGTTTAAAATTGAACTTCAGAAAGATTAATATAACAGTTGACTGAAGAAAAAGCAACACATAAAACCAGTATTGTTAAAAATGCAGGCAAGAGGGAATCATGCCCTAAGTTAGAGTCAAAGTGGACATGCTGAGAGGGAAGGTGATTTTAATAATGATACAAAAATATGGAATCAAGCACACATAGCAACAAATATTGTGGGTCAGGTGTGAAGTGGGGTGAGGAGTCCAAGTGAAGCATGAACTTTTACCTATGGCTGACTAAGAGAATAAGAATAGTATTTGTTGAAAAGGGAAATAAGGAAGGAGTGCCGAGTAGACTGGGTTAACTGGTTGAGACAGTCAGATGTTACTGTGCTCACATGATAACCAAATGGAACATTCCAAAGGCAGTGGAAAATAATCACCGTTTGAAGAGAATTAACTTAAGAAGACTCTCAGGCTGCTCAGAATTTTTGTAAATTATAAAAGGTTACTAAACTCAATTAAAATAAAAATATAGCCAATGTTTTGGGGCTCATTTCCTTTTAATGTGATTTTGAAGACAGTGTCGGAAACCTTGAGAATTCAAAAATAGCAGGTACAAATCACAAACAATCCCTATTCTTGTATGTTACTCCCAGTTGTTTTCACTGCAGCCCTAGTGTCCACACCTGCTCTATGATTCTTGTCTGCCTTTAATACTGTCTTGCCTGGACTTTGGTGTCAGTTCTGTTTTCTAGATAGCTGACTTTCCAAAACGTCCCATGCCCTCACCCCAGCTTTACACTTAGCTCTTCAGTCCTATCTCAGCACTGAGCATTTCTCACCCTCTACCCCAAATGAGTTTTCACTTAGTCATTCCTAGCCTAGGACTGAAAGCTTGTCTCATTGTTTAACTGAATAGCAACATAGATAGGACATATTTTCTAATTTACTTTTTAGGTTTATTTTTTCTTTGTATATATTTAGGGGGCACAAGTGTTGTTTTGTCCCATGGATATATGGTGTAGCAGTGAAGTTTGAGTTTTAGTGTAAGCATCACCTGAATAATGTATATTGCACCCATTAGGTAATTTCTCATCCCTCACCCCTGCCACCATCCCATTCTTCAGAGTCTCCAATGTCTATTTTTCCACACTCTGTGTCCATGTATACACATTATTTAGCTCCCACTTGTAAGTGAGAACACATGGCATTTGACTTTCTGTTTCTGAGTTATTTCGCTGAAAATACCTGAACTCACCTGATCTTGTCTAGATAGCACATATTTTAACAACTCAGGAAAAGCTTCTAATACAGCTGTCAGCAACCTTGATGTGAGAACATATGAATTGTGTCTCTTGTATCCCAAGTCATGGGAGACACAAAGGAGGAAAAATGGAAGAAGAGGAGCAGACAGAATAAAATAAAAAAGTGAAACAGAAAGAGAAGAGAGAGGGTAAATTTACCCTGGGCCAAGTATCTGTGCCACGGGTCATAATATCACAAATGCCAACCAAGGATTGATGCCAATCCATAATTAATTTTTCAAATGTGTGTGGCATGAGAAAATGAGGTCAATTTAATGAATTTTTCGTAATTAAATTTGTTCAATAGATAGCTGCCATTTATTCTGAGTATATCCTTCGTCTTTTGTATTAAAATGTTCTATAAAAATTATAAAACTAATAACACTGCTTGCTTATTTTAAAATCATAGTGAAATTAAAAGTGGACAACTATACGTATGTCTGTATGTATAAGTATGTGCAGTTTATATTCTTGTGCTCTGAGAAATAAAAAAAAATTAGCGACTACTGTTGTAAATTAATTTACTTTGTACCAACATACCTCAACTGATGAGTGTGGGTAGGGGCTTCCTGGAGTAAATAAAAGAAGTCATCAGCACAGCCTTGATGTGTGTATACGTCAGTGAGTTCTTAGCAGCCACTGTTGTCTTTACTTAAGTAGCCAAAATAAACAGTAATAAAGCAAGCTAAATATTTCTTCAAAAGGTAAACAATAAAGATTGGTAAGCATCATAAAAGAGCTATCATCACCTCAGCTACTCTAACATCTATAAATCTGTGCATCAGCCTAGCCACTAATCCTTAACCCCATGGAGAAATGGCTTCATATGAGTTCAGTATATTTTCCTTTATATATTTTTACTAACGTGCTGTTCAAATGTGTAGCTGCCTTTGTCTTGTTGGAACTGAACCCGAATGTTTTCTATGGCTGAAACAGTTCTTGCTGGGCTGCCTCCTGTGTATAACTCTCATTTTATCTCCTCTTTCTATTTACCTCTATAGGCAGGAGCTTTTAGGGAGCTGAATTTTGTTCGCCTAAGTGTGACTGACCAGTTAATGTATCACTGGACCTCCTAATGTTCACTCATTTTCTTCTACTGCCTCTAAATCATTATTCTGAAAAACATTTGCTATCTCTTCCCTCTCTTGTAATAGTCTTATCCAAGAAGACAGCAGCTTCAGTGCTCAAAGTGTCAGCCCCACAGTTCAATAACATGGATCAACTTCTATTCTAGCTCAATCTTCCTTAGCTATATAAATACAAATGAAAAAGAAATGCATCCACCTCTCCTTAACACGCTCACTTCTGACCTTTCATGTTTTCACAAGAAATCAACATTTGCAGAGGCAACAGTACAAAAGAAAAATATAGGGAGGAAAGAGAGAAAGTAGTCTAGTATTTTCACCCTGCCAGAGAAGTATACTTACTCATAGCAAGAGCTGACCTTTCTCAGGAAGGACATCTTTAGGCAGGTGGCGTTCCTGTTAATCATGAATTATCATTCTGCTCCTTGCTTCTGGGCCTGCTCTCCTTACAAACACCCTGTCTATGTAAGAAAGCAAGAGACTCAGAGATAACACAGGAACACAAGGGCATGCCAAATTCTCTTAGAATCGTTGAACACTAGCTCTGGAAAAGCATTTAGGGGCCACCCAGTGTACACGCCATGTTTTATAACTGTATTCATTTCATAACAAGCGTTGCTTGAGAACCATTCCTTGTGTGTATTGGGGTTGGGGACCTACCACTAAATGTAAAGATGGGAATGGGAATGTATAGACAAAAAAGAAAATTATTCTTTTGCAGGAATACCAGCTAGAGAGGTCAAGAGATTTAGCTCAAGTGATACTGTGTTTGGTTGTTGTAATATATGAGGTGTCCTGACCTCTGGTATTACACACCTCTCATCCTTTCTAAAAGACATATTTGTGGCTGGGCACAGTGGCTCATGCCTGTAATCCCAGCACTTTGGGAGGCAAAGGCAGGTGGATCACCTGAGGTCCAGAGTTCAAGACCAGCCTGGCCAGCATGGTGAAACCCGTCTCTACTAAAAATACAAAAATTACTCGGGCATGGTGGCAGGCACCTGTAATCCCAGCTACTTGGGAGGCTGAGGCAGGAGAATTGCTTGAACCTGGGAGGCTGAGGTTGCAGTGAGCTGAGATTGTGCCATTGCACTCCAGCCTGGGCGACAAGAGAGAAACTCCATCAAAAAACAAAAAAACAAAAAAAGGCATATTTGTTTATCTGTGCCAACTCCAAGGGTATTGATATGGTTTGGATCCGTGTCCCCACACAAATCTCACGTCAAATTGTAATCCCCAATGTTGGAAAACAGGCCTGGTGGGAGGTGATTGTATCATTGGGACAGATTTCCTCCTTGGTCATATCTTTGTGATAGTGGTTGAGTGCTCATGAGATCTGGTTGTTTAAAAGTGTGAAGCACCTCCCCTCCACCCCAACCCCTGCTCCAGCCATGTAAGATATGCCTGCTTCCCGTTCACCTTCCACCATGATTGAAAGTCTCCTGAAGCTTCCCCAGAAGCCAGGGAGATGCCAGCAACATGCTTCCGGTAGAGCCTGTGGAACCATGAGCCAGTTATAAGTTACCCAGTCTCAGATATTTCTGTATAGCAATGTGATAACGGACTCATACAGAAAATTGATACTGAGGAGTCAAGTATTGCTATAAAGATACCCGAAAATGTGGAAGCAGCTTTGGAACTGGGCAACAGGCAGAAGTTGGAAGAGTCTGGAGGGCTTAGAAGAAAACCAGAAGATGAAGGAAAGTTTGGTACTTCCTAGAGACTGGTGAGATGGTTGTGACCAAACTTCTGATAGTGATATGCACAGTGAAGTTCAGGCTCATAAAATCTCAGATGGAGATGAGGAACTTGGGAACTGGAACAAAGGTCATTTTTGTTACACCTTAGCAAAGAGCTTGATTGTATTTTACCCCTGCCCTAGGGATCTGTGGAACTTTGAATTTGAGAGAGATGATTTAGGGTATCTGGCAGAGGAAATATTTACGCAGCAGAGCATTCAAGATTTGTCCTGGCTGCTTGTAACAACCTGTGCTCATATGTGTGAGCAAAGAAATGACCTGCAACTGAAACTTACATTTAAAAGGAAAGCAGAGAATAAAAGCTTGGAAAATTTGCAGCCTGGCCATGTGGTGGAAAAGAAAAGCCCATTTTCAGGGGAAGAATTCAAGCTACCTGCAAAAATGTGCATAACTAAAAGGAAGGCAAGTGCTGATAGCCAAGACAATGGGGAGAAAACCTCAAAAGCATTTTCAGAGACCTCCCAGTAGCCCCTCTCATCACAGGCCCAGAGGCCTGGGAGGACAGCATGGTCTCCTGGGCAAGACCCAGGGCCTCACTGCCCTGCACAGCCTCAAGACACTGCCTCCGGCATCCTAGCTGTTCTAGCTCTAGCTGTGGCTAGAAGGGGCCTAGGTACAGCTTGGGCCACTGCTTCAGAGGGTGCAAGCTGTAAGCATTGGCAGCTTCCACATTGCGTGAAGCTTGCAGGTGCACAGAATGCAAGAGTTGAGGTTGGGAGCCTCTGTCTAGATTTCAGAAGATGTGTGAAAAAACCGGGATGTCCACACAGAAGCCTGCTGTAGAGGTACAGCCCACAAGAAGAACCTCTACTAGGGCAGTATGGAGAGGAAATGTGGGGTTGGAGTACCCACACAAAGTCCCCACTGGGGTACTGCCTAATGGAGCTGTGAGAAGAGGGCCACCATTCTCCAGACCCTAGAATGGTAGATACACTGACAGCTTGCACTGTGCACCTGGAAAAGCCACAGGCACTCAATGTCAGCTCTTGAGAGCAGCCGTGGGATCTGGGCCCTGCAGTGCCACAGAGGCAGAGCTTCCCAAGTCCTTAGAGCCCACCCTATGTACCAATGTGCCCTGGACATGAAACATGAGGTCAAACGAGATTATTTTTGAGCCTTAAGATTTATTGACTGTCTTGTTAAATTTCAGATTTTCATAGGGTCTGTAGCCCCTTGCTTTTGGCTGATTTCTCCCTTTTGGAATGGTAATATTTACCCAATGCCTATACTCCCATTGTATCCTGGAAGTAACTAACTTGTTTTTGATATTACAGGTTTACAGGCAGAAGGGGCTAGCCTTGTCTTAGGAGATGTTGGACTGTGGACTTTTGAGTTAATCCTGGAGTGAGTTAAGACTTAGAGAACTGTTGGCAAGACATGGTTATTTTAGAACACGAGAAGGACATGAGATTTGGGAGGGGCCAAGGGCAGAATAATATGGGTTGGATCTTTGTCCCCAGCCAAATCTCATGTTGAATTGTAATCTCCAATGTTAGAGGAGGGGCCTTGTGGGAAGTGATTGGATCATGGGGGTGGATTTCCCCTTTGGTCCTGTTCTCCTGATAGTGAGTGGGTGTTTATGAGATCTGGTTGTTTAAAAGTGTGTATACCTCCCCCACCCTACTTGTTCCTGCTCCTGCCATGTAAGACATGCCTGATTCCCCTTTGCCTTCCACCGTGATTTAATGTTTCCTGAGGCATTCCCACAGGCCACGCAGACCCCAGCATCATGCTTCCTGTACAGCTTGTGTAACCATGAGACAATTAAATGTATTTTCTTTATAAGTTACCCAGTCTCAGGTATTTCTTTTAGCAATGCAAGAACAGACTAATACTGATACTCCTCTTATCCTTCTACTGAATTCTCACTACTTTATCCTTAGTTTGCTAATTACAATAAAAGGAAAATGATGTCCATGTGCCTGAGCCTTGAAGCACGCTATATGCTTCGTAAGAGCAGAAACCATGTAGCATTCATCCTTGAGCCCACCCCTGGTCTGCGGACTGCCTTGAATACCACACATAATTATAATAGTCCCACTTTAGCCATAATTTCGCAGTCCGAAAACATTAAGATATTTTGAGACTGCAGTCCAAAAACAGTAAGATCTTTTGAGGGAAAGAGAGAACGCATTCACATAACTTTTATTACAGTATATGGTTAGGAATGTTCTATTTTATTATTAGTTATTGTTGTTAGTCTCTTACTGTGCCTAATTTAGAAATTAAACTTTATCATAGATATGTATGTATAGGAAAGACATAATGTGTATACGGTTCACACTACCTGATGTTTCAGGCATCCACTGGTGGTCTTGAAACATATCCCCTGCAGATAAGAAAAAACTATTGTATAGTTCTTGTTAAATTTGCATATGTTTCTCCTGGGTATAGATACAGCTATAACCTATGCTGATGAAATAGCACGTATGGAAGCAGTAGGCATCAGGAAAATACGTAATGATCAAGAATTGGTCTACCATTCTCAGTGATTTCATGGCTCAGTGATTTGCAAGTCTATGAAAAGATTACAGTTGAGTCATTACACAACAATAAAAGATAGTCTTTTTCAAACTTGCTTGATTCTTGTCTGACTTGTAACTTTTAACCAACTAGGAATGAAACTAATGATTTGCATAGTTTCTTAAGCCCTATTAGAAAGTAAATAATGCTAAGGAATCACTGTTATTTCAGTCTCACAGATTATAATACTTTTTCCATACCATTTGCCATTCATTGTTGCAGGCCGAAAGAGTAAGGGTTGTGATCAACTCAGTATACCACTGGAGGCTATATGAGTAAACAGCAAACTGTTCTCATAAATGCAGGATGTTAGCAAGCTGACAACTGTGTCTGCCGCCCAGAAGGAATGCTGAGGGCAGTCATGCCCCAACTGCAGTGTTTCTGCTAATTAGGCACATCTGAAGCCTGTTAGCAATAATGTGAACCTGTGATCAATCAAGCAGCTGACCAATCATTACCTCCTCCTCCCTGCTCTTTCTACCCAATAACTATGAAGGGCTGTGGAAACTCAGGGCTGCCCTTGCTCACTAGAAGCAGGGAGCCCTCTTCTTCTTCCCCATGTTACCTTTCCTTTAAAACAGTTACTTTTGTTTTAAGTTTTCATTTCTGCATTCGTCCTCCTTCATACAGTCCCGTGGTAACCATGGCAAACCATGGCAATTCATGACACTGACAGATAAAAAGATAATTTTAGGTCCCTTATTATAAACATATTTTTATATCATGTGCCTAATATATGTTAAATTACAGCAAAGACAACTGACCAAAGATAATCAGAAATATTGGAGAACATGAACATGGATTGTCTTAATATACAAAAATTGTATTTAATTTTAAGACTGTTTTGCATCATAAAGAGTTTTGTGAAAGCATAATAAATCATTTCATTGTCTATAAATTAGACAATTACAGCTAGAGAATTTGCCAGGGTCTTCACCACAAATCAAACTAGTTTTCAGAAAGCACAAATTGGTAATAAAAAACAGAATAACATACTAAAATTTTTAAAAACACAAAATTTAGAAATTTTTTTGTAAGAAAACAAAGAATGGATTATAAATAAAACCCTTAGGATGAGATTTTAATAGTCAAAACTTAAACCAACACTATCTGCTTATTGTGGTAGGTAAATAGGAACTAGGTATAGTAGAATTTTGCTGTTTTGAGCCACATCAAATTTATTCATCTCTTTTTCCTTTGTAATAGCATCCAACTTTTAATTTAAATACCCGTCTTCCCTATGAAATCTATGTACCTCAGGACTAAATAACTTTGGCATTTCTACATTCCTGGTTCATAGATGTTCATACGACCTAAGCTGTTTCAATGAGATAGAAATCCAAGTCTTCTGTGGAAATGTTTTCTCTTCCCTTTGGGTTACAATGAGGGAGCAAGTTCTCCCAAGATCCCCTGTAGCCATTTTCAGATCACTATAGGGGAAGGCTGATGAGAATGTTATCAACTCCTGGGAGCAGAATTAAACACGTAGAAAGAAAAAATAAGTTCTGGTCAAGTTTGTGGGGAAGCCACATGAAGCTCTGACTAAAATGAGACCTAATTCTTCAGTTTTGAGGTATATGAATCTGTAAAACTTTGATTATTTTCAGCTGAGACTTATTTCCTGATTCTTGCCAAAGTATCACTCTTAATACTTTCGGTCATCAAAATCTGGCCCTTGATATACATAGAATTCAGTTTTGTCTGAATGTACCTAGAAATGATCAAATTCCTGGAGAATAACTCATGCTAACTAAATGAATAAAAAATAGAATAAATGTTACTAGAATAATAAATGTGAACTAGAATCACAATTAATTATTTTTCAATAATAAATTACTGAAAAAAGTGGGTTTTCATTCCTTGCATAATCACATTTTCTCCCTGTCTGAAATCTAAATGAGAAACCAACTTTTATCCAGGAATGTACATGATGATCTTGAATTTAAAAAAATGGTAATAATTTGTATTATTTTAATGACACATTTTCTGAAGTATATGTAGAATGTGAGTTCTGGTGTCTATTAACCACTATTACATGAAGAAAAGGATTTCCAAAGTGAAACTGACTTGATAAATTTTAGGTTAAATAATTTAAAGTGCTTTCATTACAGGACTTCTCAGATCCTTTACTAAGTTAACATGCTTTTTAAGTATCAAGAGAAACATACATTATAGATTATGCAGATGCCACTTTCCTTCTCCTGTGGAAAAGTTATAGCTATAACTATGTAGTGTTTTTCTTATCATTTTAACTCTTACTTTCAACTATATTCTGAGTCCAATCACTCTAACCAGTTCCACTACTTATACCATGGGCCACATCAACACCTTTTCTCACCTGGATTATTGCAATAGCCTGGGCTTACTCTCTTACCCTTGACCTCAAATTCTTTATTCGCCATTAAACAACCAGTGTGATTCTTTCTAAACTGAAGTCAGATTATGTCATCTGCATAAAATTACCCAATAGTGTTTCATAACACAGTAAAATTTAAAATTGTACCGTGATCTAAAAAACCCTTCCCCTGATCTGCCCTCTGGCCCTGTGTCTTCATCTCTCGACGTTCTCCCTTACTCATTCTGTTCCAGCATGTACCTCCTTGCTGTTCCTCACACAGGCACATGCCTGCCTTGAAGCCTTCACATTTACCTTTGTCAAATGCCCTCTGCCTGCCCAGGTAGACTCCTGACCTGTGCTCTCAATTTATTCTCATCTCTCCTCAGAGAGATCCTTCCTAATCCAACCCATCAAAAACAATATCACCACATCACTTGCTGTCTCCTGACCCTGTTTTGTTTGTCTCCAAAGCACTTTTCTCTACCTGATATTATATACTTATTGGTGTATTTATTTTGTGTTACCTCCACTAAAATGCAAGTTCCATCAGGGCAGGGATTTGGTTTGATTTGTTAATAGTTCTGCAACAGTACCTTTTTACAGAATAAGCATAAGATAAATGTTTTTTGAATGAATGGAAAGGCAAAAAGTCTGCTCCTCAGAATATCAGAAAAAAGTAACAAATTCTTCTTTTCTCTAGGTGCCATGCTGACCACTCTTTAATCTATTAACAACATTTAACAGAGTATTTCTTGAGAGTTTCTTCTTGCTGATTACAACTATATTCCAATCATGTTTTTCTTGATTAAACATTTTTTTCCTAAGGCGTCTTTACTTTTACAGGTTAATTTTAGAATGAGTTATTTTCCAGAAATATAATCTCACTCACTGCATAATAATTTTTAAAAATAATTGTATTTTTTAGCATAATTTTTTTTTTTTGAGACAGAGTCTTGCTCTGTCACACAGGCTGGAGTGCGGTGGCGTGATCTCAGCTCATTGCAACCTCCACCTCCTAGGTTCAAGCGATTGTCCTCCCTCAGCCTCCTGAGCAGCTGGGATTACAGGCATGCACCACCACGCCCAACTAGTTTTTGTATTTTTAGTAGAGATGGGGGTTCACCATGTTGGTCAGGCTGGTCTTGAACTCCTGACCTCATGATACGCCCACCTCAGCCTCTCAAAGTGCTGGGATTACAGGCGTGAGCCACCGCACCTGGCCTTTTTAGCATAATTTTAAGTAATGTTAGGGCTACTTTGCTGAAAACTCCATATATAGATCATGCTTATCCACTAAATATATTTTTAGAATCTTTTATATACTCTTAGCTTAGTTAGTTCATAGGCAGTAGGTACCTTGTGTGACATACAGCTTTGTAATGAAAACTGGCGTTTTATTGGGTGGAACTGGAGTCATGCTCCACCTTACATGTGCTATTTAAACTCTTTACACCTAGGATTTTTCATCGGTAATTTAGTGATAATAAAAATAAATTATCCTACAGTTCTATTAGAAAGACTAAATGCAGTAGACCACTCAAAGTGCTTAGCACAGCTCTCAATATGTGAGGAACACTCAAATGTTAACGGTTTCACTATTAGTACTACTATTGAGCCTGAGTATTATGCACCAATACTTCATCAGAGATTCTTGATAAGTTAAATCTGTGCCATTCAATAGGATCCTTTATAGTCTCTGAGGCAAAGCATGGATCCTAATATAAATGAACTAAACATACACCAATAGTAACAACCCACAGATAAAACCTGGGTGTAGCAATTGCACTCCTACAGATTCTATAATCGAAAATGGTTTGCAAAGCCAACCGTTTAAATTGGGCTGATAATCATTCTTAGAAGCACTAGAAATATTCTTAGACTTTGTTTCTAGTTGTAAAAAAAAGTAATGATAAAAATATTGAAAGTGACAGTGTTTTCCACATATATAAGGTGTTCTATTTTACAAAAGGCCATCTTCCAAAGACAGCACTGGGGCATAGGGATTAAGCATGAAGACTCTGGAGATCGCTCGCCCAAATTCAAATGTGAGTCCTAGGGCTTTTCATCTATGTGACCTTAGGCAATTTCTTCACCACTTTGTGTTCTAGTTCTTTCCTCTACAAAATGAAGAAGAAAGTGTCTGTATCATCAGATTGTTGAGAAATTTAAATGAGTTACTCCACATAAGGCATTTACTGTAAGGCCAGCAATACATTAAATACTCAAAAGTTAGCTCTTACTGACTTTCACAACAGTTCTTTTAAATACCCAAGAAAAATACTATAATCCTCATTTTACAGAAAAAGAAACTAATAGATAAGTGCTTTGACCAAAATCATAGAACTTATTTTGCGATGGTGCTGTGACTAGGATATAAACTTTCAAACTCCTCAACTGGTAATATTAACACAATAAGACTGTCTTCTCCATTTATGTGAAAAGAAAAACAGAACATAGATAATACATGCAGACAACGTATTTAAGAGACATTATGAAGGTAGGTATCTTAGTCTATTTGAGTTGCTATAACAAAATACCTTAGGCTGGGTAATTTGAAAATAATAGAAATTTATTTCTTACAATTCCCGAAGCCAGAAAATCCAAGACCAAGCTCCTACTGTCTGCTTTCAAGATGGCACCTCTTGCTGCATCCTCATGAGGAAAGCAGAAGGGGCAAAAAGGGCCAAACAGACTCCCTCAAGCCCTTTTATAAGGGCACTAACCCCAATCAGGAGGGTGGAGCCTCATGACATAATCATCTCCTAAAATCCCTATGTCTTAACACTATTGCATCGGAGATTAAATTTCAACATGAATTTGGAGGGACACAAACATTCAGACCATAGGAGTAGGTTTTCACCAACATGTATCAGTGTTTCATATTTTTTTTTTTTTTGAGACTTTGTCTCGCTCAGTTGCTCAGGCTGGAGTGCAATGGTGCTATCTTGGCTTACTGCAACCCCTGCTTCCCGGGTTCAAGTGATTCTCCTGCCTCAGCCTCCCTAATAGCTGGGATTACAGGTGCATGCCACCACGCCCAGCTAATTTTTGTATTTTAGTAGAAATGGAGTTTCACCATGTTGGCCAGGCTGGTTTCAAATTCTTGACCTCAAGCGATCCACTGGCCTCAGCCTCCCAAAGTGCTGAGACTACAGGTGTGAGCCACCACTCCTGGCCCATACCTTTTATTAAGATAATAAAAACTTCTACACTTGTTAATAAATAGCCACCACCCTGAGCCCTTTGAGTCTACTCTTTCAAGTTCCCCCACCACCCACCCAACACCAATGCCTGTGCTGATCTACTCCTTGGCTTAGCAGCTCCTGAACCTCCTACATTTAGCATATAAAGAATGAATGTCTACTATAGTGGCCTAAGGTTGCTGTTTGCTGCCTTCCTCTTCTGATTATTTGACGCAAGTACAGCTCCTGTTTTTAATACTGTTAAAATTTCCTCTGGATGGTAAAGACTTCACAGAACTATGATGAGGATCAAAGAAAGTTGTGTTTATGATAGTGACATTAAGCTAGAATTTGCTATATATGAAATCATCTTTCTTGATCTATGCAAAGCACAAGGCCACATGCCTATGACACAAATCTGAACATTTCCCAAAGGATATCCTAGTATGAACTGTCCTTGTCTTTATATAACAATACCAATTAAGTATTTTTAGAAATTAGAATAAAATCCCAGTCAACAATTCTTGTCAATATCATCTATCTGTCTATCATCTATTTATCCATTTAGTCAATTTCATTTTCTGCCAAAGTATTCAGTAAAAAAGCAGCTTTGAGATGTTGCAGGAAACAAATGCCTCCGTGAAAGAGAAGGTGAGGGGAGGGTGGCTTTAAGTTACAAATAGTGGGTTAAAGCCAGGGGTGGTGGGCCCTTAAAATCCCAGCTACTCTGGATGGTGAAGCAGGAGGATTGCTTGAGCCCGGAAGTTCGAGACCAGCCTGGGCAAAATAGGAACACCCCCATCTCTGAAAAAACAAAAACAAAAACAAAAAAGGAGTGGAGGAAATAAATAATGAGTTTAATGAGTTAATGTCAAGGTGTTTCAAAGAGCTGGAATGCAAGTTCCATCAGGGCATGGATTTTGAGGTGGCTGTAGAAAGGAGCATAATTTTCTTTTCTGCAGAACCACAACAGAGTTGGTGGTTTTACAGTTTAATACAATAGACTTGGTTTTGAGAAGAGTTTCCTTACCTCAGGAATCATAATGTGAAATTGCCTAAGTTACATTTCTAGGCATTTTTTTTGGTAGATGAAAACAAACACTTTTTTTTAAGGAAAAAAAAAGAGTGTCCTTTAAAAATATAAAAACCATTCCATAGATACTCAAATTATTTTTTGCTGAAGCTCCAAATTTGTGCTTATTTATATTTCTAATTTTATCTCCCATTTTTACATATTTAACCACCTGCCATCTTTGCCTGTCTAAGGAATGGAGTAAAATTTGGAAAAAAAAAATTATAGTAATGTGGGAAAAAGTACATTTCTTGTAACTAAGAAAATAGGTCACTTAAAATGTAATTCCATATGCAATGTACTAGAGGCATTTTGGATTTTAGCTGTAATGTGTGTACTTGCACTTCATCCATACCCATTAAAGTTTATTTATATTTAACCATTATTGCTTTAAAAATAATTGTTATTCTACTTTAGAAGGAAAACAACATAAACATTTTGGAAACTGTCTTTTGTCATAATTTTAAAGGTATTAGTGTGAGTAGCTGTGCTTCAAAAAGGGATAAGAAAACAGAAAAGAGATCAAAATGATGTGAGGAATGGATAAGAAAATTTGTATTTGCATAAAGGTACCCACCTAAATATGGCTTTTGACAGCCTTCTGTTATTACATCTCTTCATTCATACATAATAAAATGTATTTGTTTTAGGCTATGCTGATATAATACTAACATCACTAGCTCAACAGGAGACATTATTAGGAAATTTCCATATATATATATATATATGTGTGTGTGTGTATATATATGTGTGTATATATATGTATGTATATATGTGTGTATATGTGTATATATGTATATATGTATATATATGCATATATATACATGTATATATATACACATATATACATGTATATATACGTATATATATACGTATATATACGTATATATATACGTATATATATATGTATATATATATATCTGGTTTTATTACATTTATCAAATTAACTACAGTCATGCATCACTTAAAGACAGGAATATGTCCCAAAAAATGCATCATTAGGCAATTTTGTCCTTGTGCAAACATCATAGAATGTACTTATACAAACCTAGATAGTATAGCTTACTACATACCTAGGCCATATGCAATAGCCTAATGCTTCTCGGTTACAAACCTATATAGTATGTTACTGTAGGGAATACTGTAGGCAATTGTAACACAATGGTATTTCTGTATCTAAACACAGAAAAGGTACAATAAAAATATGGTATAAAAGATCTTTTAAAATGGTTCACCTGTATAGGGCATTTACAAAGGTGAGTAAATTAGTGAGTGGTGAGTAAATGTGAAGGCCTAGGACATTACCGTACACTGCTGTAGACTGTATAAACACTGTCCACCTTGGCTACACAACATTTATTTTAAAAATAAAGAAAGTGTGCTACAACATTATGGCAGTTACTATGTCACTAGGTGATAAGAATTTTTCAGCTCCATTATAATTTTATAGGGCCACTGTCATCTATGTGGCACATTGCTGTGGTTACTTTAGCATTGTGTAGCCAAAAGCTTCATGGCACACAAATGTAGATATAATTTGCATCTTGCGTTAGTGATGCTTGATGTTAAGTAGCAAAGAGAAAATGCAAAAACTTGCAATCCTATACATACCTAATTATCAGTCCATCAACGGCAGAATCTTTTTCTTCCAGCTTAAAAAGGAATGAAGACACTATTATCAGAAACCAGCAGGCATCTATTTACACTATCCAGAGAGATTACACTGAAGTCCATGCATGCTGTATGCTGTTTACAGTCCTTTGGGGAAATGATTAGTGGAGCAAATAGCTCTACTGACCTGCTGAAAGCATAATCCATTATCACCCAAGGCTGTCTTACAATGACAAAATATGAAAACATCAGAACAACCTCTTTAGAAAGCAAACAGGTATTACTGCATAATGTGGTCAACAGGTAAATAGCACAATAAACTCAAATCATACAGTCTCATCTCTTGCCTTCTTAGAGTCATTTGAAAGAGAAACAAGAGAAAAGCCACACCTGGTGTATGTAGACGACACCCCAATATTTGCAAATATCAAGCTGCTAAATGCATGCTAAGCGTCTTTAGAGGCCAGTGTGTTTGCAAACTCACTTTCTTCCTGGACTATGACTTCACAGTAGGGTGTGCAATTTTTATACACAATGCAGGATTCATTGGAACCATAATTTAGACAATTTTCAATATGGGGCATAGTGTTACCTGTCTCAGATAATTTCTTTTTAAATCCCACTCTTTGAGTAATTCATCCATGTTTCCCTTTCTTCTTGAGTACATGAAACAGTTAGAATAAAGCATATTATCTCCCCATCCACCTCAATCCTATCAACCTTGCCACCCACTACAATTACTTTTCACACTACCCTGCATGAAACAGAGGAACAGCCATTAAACCACTACCAAATACTAGAAGCAAAGGCTGCTCCAGCCCACAGCTGAACTTAATAAAACTGTTAATGTCAGAGCCTGCCGGCTAGCTTCCCAGGAACACCACTTGCTCAAAATCCTTCCATTCCAGCCATGCATGTGGCATTTCATCCCTCTCCCCATGCAGAACCATGCCATCTGCTGTGAGGCACAGATACACTACATGCCAGGTGACATTTTCCTTTAAATTACTTTTTTTTTTATTTACTAGGAAGTATACTCAACAGGCAAAGAGCAAGAAGAGTTTTCAGTTATACGTAGGCTTGTTTTCTCCAATTTCTTGATATTCATCATATTCTGGCTCTGCATTTGGATGGTTGGTGAGTTATTTATGGGTGGGCTTCCTTGGAAATAAGTTTGTTTATATGTAGTAAAAACCTTGAGCTCTGGCACGCCAATAAACCATGGGTTAACTGTGGAGTTGAATTAAAAAAAAAAAAAGGAAGAGGAAAGAGTCATTAAATCAACAATACTGAGGTCTGATGAAACTGTGCGAAGTCAATAACATCATAAACTTTTATACTGACTTCAGCATGAGAACATGCTATCATCTGTGGCAAGTGATGGCAAAAGCATTTAGATCTGATACATTTGATGTAACAAAAAAAGAGATGGAGAGGCTTTGAAGATGCTTTATACTTTTGCCCATTTTGGATAGGGTTAAAATCTACATGCTTCGATAGCAGTGCATTTAAAGTAACCGGAGACTGTGGTGGGGTTAAAGGAAAATTTTGAAAGAGTCTATTGGAGAAAATTCCTTACCTTCACATCTAATTCAAATTACAGATATAAATATATGCTTCTCTTTAGGAATATATGTAAATATCTTAAGCTATAGATTTGGAGTGTTAGTCTATAAAAGAGATATAAACTATAAGATTCATATGTGTGGTCACAGTGGCCCTTTTGCAAGATTTCCCCCATGAGAGGAAGCGTATTCCATTTAGGAACTAGGACCTGTGTTAAAAGCCAGATCAGTTAGAGTATGATTCAACTGTATTTGGTGCACAATCTAAGACTACTTTAGTGACTATTATTTGACCTATTTATAAATACTGGTAGTGGGGGCACCTTGACAATTTTAGATTGAAGTATATGCAATGAGCAAAACATTCAAGCCTAAACACATCAGAATTAATTTTCTCCATTTATAATTACTCAGTCAATTGTTTACACATACACAAATTATTTCACAGTTTACTACTCCTGGAATTGACTAATAAATAATAGATTTATATTTAATAAATTCTTAATTACCTTCCTCCATTTGCTGTGTTCTTTTATTCACTATTAATTTCCTCCTTGACTTCATGCATTCAAATATCTATCTCCATCACGTCACTAAAACTCACCCTAAAGCTATTGATGACCTCCCCCTGACTGAACTGTCTAATGTTCACTTTGGCAAACAGATTGATTCCTTGAAAACATCAATCTGATTGTGTCAATTCTTACTATCTTCTGTCCTCCTTCTCCCAGCCTTGACAAAACACTTAACTGGTGATGTTTTATGATCCTCGCCTCTGGTCTATACAAACACCTCCTTCTGCCCTCACCCCAGAGCCCCTCCCACTCAGCAATCCAGATCTCTGACTTTCCCTATTTTCTCATATTTGTTATGGCCCATATGTCCATGTTATTTCTTTTCTGGATGTTCCTTTTTTTCCTTTGGAAAACATGCCCTCACGATACCTGTTACGTCTCACTTGTAGCATTTATTACAATTTCCAATTTGTACTAATTATTTGATTATTGAGGAAACCTGTTCTTTTGAACTAGCATATAAGCTTCCTGGAGACATGAGAAATGGTGTTTCTTGTACCTTTGAATATTTAGCCTCTGGCACTCTGCTTAGCACATACTGAGCACATAATAGAAATCTGCTCATGAATGGATGATGAGGTATCATTTCAGCTACGATCCTGCTGGACTCTTATACTACTGATCCATAAGTACAAGGAAGGTTAGAACATAGGCTTGGACACAGGATCCACAAAATTAACGATCAATTCCCTCATAAACTACATATTGTGCTTTTTCTTAAAAAGAGGTTAACAAGACAGTTATGGTCACTGTCTTCAAGGAATTTATAATATAATGTAATAATGGGTAAAATAAAAACAAGTAAAGAAAAATTGAACAAAATTACAGACTGTGATAAGTGCTAAGAAGGAAAATACATAAGGATTGGCATAAGGAAAAACAAAAAAAGAAAGGTCCCTCGGGTGGTCAGGAAAAGCATCTCTGAAAAGAGAAAGCTGAGACACCTAGAAGAAAAAGAAATGAGCTGTACAGAGAATGAAGGATAAGAACCTATCAGGCAGAGACGGAAGCATGTTCAAAGGCTCTGATGCCAGCATTGGCATGGTATTTTCCAGAAATAGAAGCTTAGTGAACCAAGGTATGAGATAGAAGAGAGCTGGGGTTCTGCAGACCAACATAAGGTGTTTTGATTTTATTTTAAATGCATTGATGGTCATCGAAGAGCTTTAAACAGGGAATACCATACTCTGCTTGACATGTGAGCAAGATCACTGTTGATTCTGTATAAAGAATGGATCAGACTGGGCGAGAGTGGAAGGAAACAAGCCCACTGGGAGGATTAGGGACTTGTAGAAATAGCATGGCATGGAAGAGGTGGTGGCAGTGTAGATGGACTGATATGGGCAGATTTGAAATATGTTTTGAGCCGGGCGCAGTGGCTTACACCTGTAATCCCAGCACTCTGGGAGGCCGAGGCGGGTGGATCACGAGGTCAGGAGATCAAGGCCATACTGGCCAACATGGTGAGACCCCGTCTCTACTAAAGAACAAAAAATTAGCCGGGCGTGGTGGCATGCGCCTGTAGTCCCAGCTACTCAGGAGGTTGAGGCAGGGGAATCGCTTGAGCCCGGGAGGCGAAGGTTGCAGTGAGCCGAGATTGCGCCACTGCGCTCCAGCCTGGGCGACAGAACGAGACTCCACCTCAAAACAAAACAAAAAAAAGAAACATATTTTGAAGGTAGAAATTTAAAAGACTTGCTAAAAGCTATGGATGTTGAAGGAGACAAAACAATCCAGAAAGACTCCAGGTTCGAAGCTTAAATACCTGGCAAGATGATGATGGGATTTACTGAGATGGAAGGCCTGGTGGAGGGAAGAAGGAGAACGAGAGGACAAACCAACCCGGCATTTGGGGCTCAGTCTTTTTTGATCAAAGCATTCTGCCTTTCTTTTCATATATATTTCTACAAAACCATGGATTTTTGCCATCTAGTTAGAATTATAGATATCTGTTTTTCTTGTATTTGTTATTGAAAAACAGGATTTTGCCTTTTTCGATAATGTCTAATTTGTCAATAGACCCTAAATCTAATGTGAACCCTCGATTAGGTAAATATTTTCAACTTATAAGACCAGTGTCTGCCCTAAGTCTGCAGACACTCACAGAAAACAACATCATGATAGCAGATTCGCCGGAGTAATGAGTCACTACGAAAACTGTCGGAGTAAAGGACTGGAGGTGTCCTCCACTCATTAAAAAAATAAAATCCATTTAGCAATGAAGCAGAGAAGTGAGCTCCAACTGATCAAAACTTGTAGCATTAGAAAAGAGTCCAAAATGCTCTGTAGGATGAACAGAGGCTGTGATAGCATCTAGTCAATATAATTCAATTAAGGAAAATGGGCTCCAACAGTGAAACAGCACATGAACATCGTCAGTGCAAATTTTTAAAAAGATAAAATCAATGACAAAAGGAGAAGTCTAGAAATGCAGTGCCCCATGTAATAATGTCAGGAAAACCCCCATCTGAAAAGTGCAAAATAAAGACATCACCACCTCCACAGCTTTTGCTTGCAACACAACAGGGCAGACACAGGAGACAACAGACAGGATGAGGAGGGAAACTGCCCTTTTCCTAATACCTTCTCACTCTCTCCATCCAAAATAAGCCCCCATGGGTAATTAACTAAATACTAACCATGGCATATACATTTTAGACCATTTGTCCTTTAAGACCAATAGTTCTCGATTTTTATAAGACACAACCCTTTTTAAAGGTGGTGACACTAGAAATTCTCTCTTTAGGAAAAATGTTCTTAGAATGATGAACATTTACTTACATACTGTTTCACAGTGTTCACAGCACTCTCTCTCCCCACCCCGTCTTAGAGTCTCAGGATTTTAAGGGTTTCAGGTTAAGAACATCTCTTGTTTTGGTGTAAATGAAAGTGATCTCGTAATAAAAACCTGTTTTGTGGAGCAGTCCGGTAACAATCTGTAGGTCTCTTTGCTGCCTCGTCAGCAGCTGAAGCAGGCTCTCCTATCCCCACCCTTTTGGGCTGTAAATGTCAAGTTGTTTTCTCAGCTCCTTTGCCGCCCCTGGGGCTCCCAATATTTCAAGAGCTTTTGATGTTACTGCAAATGGAGTTTGGTCTCAAAAGCCATCATGCCACCTGTTCCAAGTATAATAATAATAAACATTTATCACATACTTCTTATAGTCAGAAATTTTCACACCAACCTATGAGGTGAGGACCACTATTAACTCCGTCTTAACATTTGAAGAAACTTCAATAAAGAAACTTTCCTGGTATTAACCATTTAATTTTCACCTCGGAACATGGAAGACTGTAATTTTCATTATCCTTGCATCCAGATCAGGCCATATTTCTGGTTATACCCAACAAAATGTGAATGGAAATAACATTCACCTCTTTTTTCCTTGCACCCCAAATGTTCTGTGAGATCATCTATGGTTTGCCACACACTGATGCCCAGGTAAATGCAGGGATTCAGGAGAACATCCAGGGGATAGCAGACATCACTACACAGAAGGGGCATGATCTCTTAGTCACCATCTGGAGTAGGGCTCCGCAGGATAGCTGAGGAACATCTGAACTGGATTTTATGATAGCTAGAAATACATGCACTTGTGTTGTGTTAAGCACTGAAATTGTAAGGTAGTTTGTTACAGTGTGCATTAGCATTACCTGATTAAGGTAACTGTACTTGATTATTTGAGAGAATGGGATTGAAACCCAGGCCTTCTCACTCCAAAACACTCAAGTTTAAATGCCACACTACACAGCTCCCATCCAGCTGCTTGGCATGTATGTTTTCGATGAAGATACAATAATTGGTTAGTTGCTTGAAAATCATAGTTTTTATGGGGAGCAAAAAGGGCCAGTGCTAGGGAATTTGTTAGTACAGAAAAAGTAGCAGCATATCTGGGGAACATGTCTTAGGAAAGAATAAAGAAGGGTTTGAGAGTGTTTGCCCAGCCCTTGTCTTGTGATGCTCTGGCTATAACATCCTTCTCATAGTCACCCAGAAAACTGCAAACAAAACAACTTGAAAGCTTGAAAAAAAAAATCACAATCATTTTTACAGAATGGGTCTCTGAACCTTTAGGATAAAAAGAGCTTTCTGTGGGAATTAAGATAATTACTGAAGGAAGATTGACAGAAATCATTTCACCAGCATGAGTGAAATCTGGAGCCATGTTAATGAGAACTGGGACGTGGGAAGATAGGAAAGGAAATATTCATGGTATGCAAGAGAAATAAGTGGCTATCACTTTAGATGGAATACTATTAGGTCCTGGAGTTAACTCCTCCTCTCCAGGAGGAAAAAAAAAAAAAAAAGAAGAAGAAAAAAATAGAATTTGGCTTGAATAAAAATAAAGAGGAAAAAAATGGAGTATCTGGGATTGAACTGTACTCTGTATCCGGGGAAACAGAAAATGAACAGATGGTCATAAAAAATGCAGAGATTTACAAATATGGAAAAAAACAAAGATTTTGTGACTATAAAAGTGGATCAAGTTGGCGCTTCATACTGAAAGATGCTATGAGAGAATGATGCAACAAGAGCCGTTGGCAGTGGAAAGAATGGTAGATAACCTCTTTGTTAATAGTTTACGTGTAGTTCCAGATGATCAAACGATTTCTGATTTTCTAATTCAATTTCTGGATTATACTGTTAGAATGATTTCGTCATAGATTGGTTCACAAGGGAATTCTGCAATGACATTATAGCATCTTCTTTGAAGTAATTTGTACCAACAATGGACTATTCTTACCTTGGAAATGGATAGACACAGGAGAAGAAAGACCAACAAGCATGCAGGACTCTCTAATGCCATCACCCTCTGCTCCAAGTTAGGCTTGGGAAGTGAAGCAATGGCATCTTGTATTCCTTATTATCTCTTTTTTCAAAGAAGAATTTCTTATGAAACCATAGGGGTTAAAAGACCGCCGATAACTCACTTATAAAGGTATCACTTCTCTCCAGTTAGATCTATCGGTTAAAAGCAATCCCAATCAAAATGAAATGGCTTTTGTTTCTGGTGTTGGTGTTCATCTTGACAAGCTAATTTTAAAATCTATATGGAAATACATATAAATGCATTTTGGCTTCTCTCCAGGATATAAAAACAAATCTACAAACCAATACAAAAACAGACACATTGTAGAAAAAAACGGGCAAGAGACTAAAACTGGCATTCCCAAAAGTTGTTTTCCAAGTTACCATTACATATTTGAACTGCTTAACATCAATAATCACAGAAATGTTAATTAAAAACAAAATGAGAAAATACTACACATCGTCTAATACCAAAGTGTTGTTGAAAATGTGAAAAACTGGACCTCTTATATGGTTCTGGTAGGAATGGAATGTATATAATCTCAGAAAAATATATAGCATTATCTACTAAATTTGGACATATGCATATCCTATGAACAGAATATTCACATATCATAATTTGCACAAAATAGAATAAATTTATACCTGTTGCTCTGGTATAATGACATATAATACCTTTTTTTTTTACTCTCAAAGTGTACTGGTTTGAATGATAAATTTTATTCTACCAATAACTTAGCTATTTTACAATTAGGCATGTACCCAATAGGAATATGTATGCACATGGTCCAAAAAATCAGGGACAATAACTATTTTTTAAATAGCAGTACCATTCTTAAAATAAATTTCCCATTTGTGTTTATTTGAGATTTACAACATGATGTTATGGGGTATGTGTTGATAGTAAAATAGTTGCTATGGTGAAGAAGATCAACATATCTATCATTTCACATAGTTTTTCATAACAAATGCAGCTAAAATCAACTTATTTAATGAAAATCCCTAATATAATACAATTTTATTAACTTGAGTCATCACATAGAGCAGCAGCACTATTCTCAATAGACAATACTAGAAACAGCCCTACTGTCCATCACAGTAAAATGAAAAAGTAACTTGTGGTAAGTTAATTCAACAGAACTCAATATAGCCATAAAGTGAACAAATTACATCTACATATACAGTATAGCTGTGCAGTGATAATGTTTATAGTGATAATACAATTATCTGTCAATTTATATTTTACTCACTCTTCTGTTTGAGTATTATAACTTCAATTTAAAAGCTTAATTTCTCATCTTGGCTGCATATATCCATTTTTTTCAACATTGCCATAGTGTCTCCAGATATGAAGCAGAGAGAAGAAACATACAAAAATCCTCCCCAGTTGGGTTCTCCTGGGTTTCTCCTAAGTGGACTTCATGCCTGTTATAAAGTCAGGTTTTGCCTGAAGCACCAACTCCAATTCAGTGGCTTTGAACGTTTGGAGTTCTGCATTGAAAAGAATTGGAAGTCTTTGTACAACAATAATAACAACACAAACTACTGTAACAAATAATGATACCTGCCATGGGAATCAGAGAGGAGAGAGACAATGAGAACGATGTATTGGTTATCCCAGAGGAAAAAACCACCCTAAAATTCTCCATAATTTCAACAAAGGGAAAACCATATTTACAATTAAGAAATTCACTTGACTTGTGGAGGCAAAAGGAGAGGTTTGCATGAGACTCCTGGGTGTGATATTGGAAATAGAATTAAGAGGAATGAGCAGGAGAGAAGAAACAAAGATCATAATGCTGCATCGAACTCCTTCTGCCTGAGCTTAGCACAAAGTCTTACAGTAAAAGATCTGATTTCTGTGTCCTTAATTGTTTTAGAGTAAGACTATGTTTATAAAAATTCCTAAATATCTCAAAGTCTTCTGTTTTCTCATAATTTTGAATAATATCATCGATCTTAAATAACTATAGACCAGCTTTTGGCATATAGATGACTGGGCATTCTGTGGAATTATTACACTGTAGAAAAACAAATGTATACTTCATATGAAAAATCTTCAAAGCAATCTCACAAAAGTAGGAGAGTTTTCTCCAAAGATATTTGTCACTTTCTAAAATATGACCTAGGCTTCAGCATCAGGGAATTGCAGATAGAATGACTGGGAACCTAAATAGGCAGACTTCCTTGGAATATGGATGCTGCATCAGAGCCCTCATGCTACAAAGCTTTGTTCCTGCTGTGAATTGGGTCACCTACCAGGATACATATGGGACAAACTAAACTCATACAGAGATTGTAGTGATCCCAGATGGGTCATGTAACCTGACCATCAATAGTTCCTGTCTGGAGGAAATCTTTCTCAATTCAAGTGATACAGGTTAAGGTAAAGCCATCTATTTACCACTAAAAGGACTACTAAGCAATTAAGGAAGTGGCTCCTATGAATAAAAGTCAGTAGAAACAACAAGTAATATATTTAGACCCCCAAGAACTTCAAATATTGAGATTATAAGACACAGATATATATAGTCATATATGTAAATCCTATGCAGAAATGAATAATGCAATGTCGAAGATTAGTTTGCAGTAAGAAGCTATGAGTAATCAATAGATAGATGAGATAAATAAAAAAGGACAGCTAGAGATACAAACTATAGCTCTTCAAATGAAAAATAATAATGGACCAATTTAACAGCAGATTTAACAAACCTGAAGATAAATCCAATAAAATGATACAGAATGTAGTATACTGATGCAAGATTAAATGTTTGAAATATGCATAAAAGACTGAAAGTGTATAAAATACATATGAATCGAGTTCAAAAAATAAAGAATGGAGGCACAGTATGTGTAGATAAAATGGATGGAAGTTTTTCAGACTAAGTAAAATTGTATCTCTCAATCACAAATCCACATATCCAAGAATCATAGTATGTATTAGGCATGATAAATGAAAAGAAATTCCCATATAAACCTGTTGTAGTGAAAGTGCAGGACATCAAAGATCAGAGAAATAAAAAATAAAGGAATCAGACAGAAATAAACAGATTTTCTGAAAGCAATAACAATTAGAATAACAGCAGAAATTGAAACAACCACAATAGAAGCTGGTAAACAATGGAGTAAAATGCACAAATTCCTTTATACAAAATAATTTTTTTTCTAAAAAACAAATTACAAATGCTGCAAACTATTATTAAAAACAAAAGCAAAGTTGTCACAATCAGAAAGGTAGGGAATTTTTCAGGACCAACAATCCCTCAAGCTAATTACTGGACTTGGAATACTGCTACTGAAACACTCAATATTCTCAGGCCTTGTACTTTTCACTGAGACACCTAAACAGCAAGAAAATGACTTTTACTTCACTTTCGGAATATAAAGGTTAAATAGCTATATCTGATTACTGGAATCCAAAATCATATCATAAAGCCTAACTACAAGGGAGCCAGAAAATTAAAAGTGGATGGGATAGATAGATGTGTGCACAGTCTCACCAGCTTTTTAATCTAAATACGAGAACATTAATTGCCAAAGATTGCAGTCCTAAGACCTGGCATAGGGATGTCTTGTTAAATCAAAATGACTCTGCATTACTTGAACCCTGTGAAACTACAGACCCTGTCTACCAAAGTTTGCCAAGTTTCCTCCTATGAGAGAGCATGGAAAGCAAAAAAGATAGAAAACAGTGTGGCTGGCATGCAGGAAATGGGAAACATAGTGTGAGGAAAATTCACAGTAGAGGGTATGGTCTACACCACAAGGGACCTGAAAAGTTATAGTAAGAAATTTGTTCTTTATCCAAAGAGCAAAGGAAGTCCATTAATTATTTTGGACTTTGTCATAGGCTGCTCATATTACATTTGAACGACATCACTCTGAGTCCAAACATGGAAAACAGATTATGGCAGAGGCAGCTACACCCCTGGTGGGCTAATTCAGTGGTTGTGCTCAAGAGTCATTACTGGAGTTGCTGACCAGATTCCACTCCTTCACCCCTCCACTGATACCATAAGCACCTGTTTCTTTTATTAAATCTCCTTCTGCTTAAAAAATTTTAAGTGGTTTCAGTTTCTTACAATTAAAATCCAACAAATTACACACACACACACACACACACACACACACACACACACACACTAGATGCAGACAGATCATCAAGGATGGAATCTGGTATTGATTATCTCACCTGCTTGGGTTTCAAGGAAATGAGTTCCAGATGTCATTAGAAAATAGGATATTGATGATCCAAGGGACACATCAACAAAAACGTTATAAAATTGTTTCCTGTGGTATTAACACCTGCAAGGAAGTGCCTATGAAAGCAGGAACTTTAGCATATCAAAGAGTGGCTGCTAAAGAATGTTATGTGAGAATACATAAAAAGAATGTGCTATTCTCTACATTTAAAGAAATAAAATTATAAGCAATATTTTGAAATTCTTAGTTCAAGCCACAGTCAGTAGGCCAAAAAACCATAGAAGACATTCTCTCTAAAGGTTGATTTAGCCAAAAATTTAGTTCAAAATCTGATCATCGGGGTTGTTTAATTACAGCATAAGTTGAGTTCACAATCCCAATAGCTCTTTTATCTAAAAACAAAAGCATTAATTGCCAAAGACTGTAATTCTAAGACTTGGCTTGGGGATATTTCATTAAATTCAGGTGACTCTGGATCATTTGAGCCCTGTGAAGTTGCAGACTCTAAGGAGTGCTTCTTGCCAGCAGAATTAGCCTGCATCTATCTTTCTTGACTTATTTGAAGACCTTAAAACAAACGTATGAAGCAAGAGCATGGTAATTGTCCCAAATCTCCCCTGACATCAACTCTCTGTGCTTCAAGATGTCGACATAGATACATAACTCAAGCCATGTCTCTCATTGGAAAATATCTGAGAGGTCTTCAAAAGTCAGAACAGGAAGAGTATTTTTCATTGTTTTAAGTCACTCATTCATTTGCGCTATTACTGGGTGCTTATGATGTACCAGGCAGTATTCTAAACACTTGAGAGAGAGTAGTAAACAAGATGAACACAAATTTAGCTCTCATTGTAGAGACTTAATGAAATGAGGAAATGAGCAGACCATATGAAGATCTGGAGGAAGAATATTCTGGCAGATGAGGGAGCACTTACAAAAGTCCCGAGGTGGAAATTAACTTGGTCCTATTGGGAAGGCCAATGTATTTAAGGCAGAATGAATCAGGTTAAGTGTAGTAGGAGATAGAATTAAAGAAATAGGCAAGACTCCAGGCAATATAAGACTTTGTGGACCAGAGTAAAGACTGGATTCTGTGTAAGCATAATATGACAACAATGTTTGAGAGAATCTCATAGAGTAACAATGCACCATATCGGACTATTTATATGTCAATAAATAAAAGAAAACCCAATTCAACATGCTTAACCATGAAGGTTTATTTCTTCACAATACTAAATACTCGAAAAGTTGTTCAATCAGGTGGAGTTTGATCAAGAGTTTAAAAGATATAACTAAAATTCCATTTTCCTAGTTATATTTCTGCACTGATTACCTATTAGTCTCATTCTCAGTCAAGTTTTTCTCACTGTTAAAAAAAAATGAGGGGTAAATCCAGAGCTCTACCATTCACCAGGTATGTCCAGTAGAAAGAGAATGTCTTGTTTTTATAACTGCACGGGGAAAGGAATTTTTCCTAATCTAGAAGCCTTATAAAATACCTCACTGCGGCCGGGCGCGGTGGCTCACGCCTGTAATCCCAGCACTTTGGGAGGCCGAGGCGGGCGGATCACGAGGTCAGGAGATCGAGACCATCCTGGCTAACACGGTGAAACCCCGTCTCTACTAAAAATACAAAAAATTAGCTGGGCGTGGTGGCAGGCACCTGTAGTCCCAGCTACTCGGGAGGTTGAAGCAAGAGAATGGCGTGAACCCGGGAGGCGGAGCTTGCAGTGAGCCGAGATCGCGCCACTGCACTCCAGCCTGGGCGACAGAGTGAGACTCCGTCTCAAAAAAAAAAAAAAAAAAAAAAAAAAAAAAAAAAAAAAAAAAAAAAAAAAAAAAAAATACCTCCCTGCATATCACTGGTTCTGGTGGTTTTAAATGTCCATCCCAATATACTGAAGAATGAGCTATGATTGCATAAACCAGACTCCATTTTTAGAGTGGGAAGTTGAGTTAGGAAAAACTACCTGGCAAAGAATGGAGAAATAATTAATTTCTAAACAGTAAATTAGGATATTTTTATTGGGAAAAAAGGCTCTCCCAAAAGTGAATGTTATGGAGGACATCAGCAAATTTCTACCACCATGAATTTTGCAGTAATCAATTGCATTCATCTATTAGGGCTGCCATAGAAAATACCACGGACTGGGTGACTTCAACAACATAAATTTATTTTTGGAGTCTTGAAATCTGAGATCAAAGTGTCAGCAGCACTGGCTTCTTTTGATCTTCTCTTTTAGACTTGTAGATGCCTGTCTTCTTCCTGCCTTCACATCATCTTTCCTTTCCTCAGTACATGTGTGTGTCCATATTTCTTCTTCTTATAAGGATACCAGTTATTGGATTGGGGCCCACATTAATTACCTCCTTTTCAAGGCAATTACTTCTTTAAATATTCTAACTCCAAGTACAGTTACATTCCAAATTACTGGGCATTAGAACTTCAACACACAAATCTGAGGAGGCAACATTCAGCCATAACACCAAGTATTATATATGTGTATATATATATATATATACATATATATATGTATGTATATATATATATGTATATATATAAATATGTATATATATACATATTTATATATATAGTTGTTCCTACTTTATGAACTAGTATAAACAGATTCAAGAATCACTTACAGATTCCTACAACCCAGATGTTTTTAAAAAATCAGGGCTAGTCTATCAGAGGATTGGAATCAACCTATGGGTCTTAGCAGCAGCAGTACTCATTTCAGGACTGCTAATATCTGAGGATGAAGATTGCTACATGGACCTAAGCAGCAGTTTAATCCTGTGAGGACATGGGAAGGTAAGCCAGAGAGACATTGACCTGGAAAAATGACCCTTGGCTGTCACCATGAGTTCATTCTACATAAAATGAAAAACAAATGTAAGTAACACCCCATAGAGCAGTGATTTTTGACCCTGATTGCATACACCAGAATGTCTAAACCCTAGCCCAGAATTTCCAGGAGTGACATTTAGCCATTAGTATCTTTTATAAGCACTCCAGATAATTCTAATATGTGGCCATGGTTGAGAAACATTGCCATAGAGATAATATAATGAAATATCTAAAGATTATCTTTTCTGAAGACTGGAGAAGAAGAAATAGCTCTTCGTTTTCATCACTATCCTAACTAGCAATCTGGTTCAATTTATCTCTGAGTCTAGGGTTTCAATCATCCTACACATTGGTGCTACTGCAACAGTTGCTTCTTCTTGTGGAACTAATAACCAATGAATCCCCTCCCCCAGCAATTAGTTTCTGGGGTTTCTAAAATATTTATAAAGCAGATGCCATTTCTTGTTGTTATACATAATACAATATTTGCCCTAAAGGAATTTATATTCCAAAATGGATATATTTAAGAATAGACTCAAAAACTCCAGGGAGGTATTTTCATTATTTATTAGAATTGCAAAATTTTATTTTTCTCCAAATAGCTGAAAGCAAGTTACTCTATTTTCTTGCTGAGATGGACAAACCATCCTGGATAACTGATTTAGAGTGACCCATTTTCATTTAGAATATACCTGCGTTTCTTGGTTTTCTTTTTTCTTTCTTTCCTTTCTTTCTTTTTTTTTTTTTTCCTTGGCCAGGATTGCCTAAACATCCTTTAATTGAGTTTAAGATACAGTACTTTGAACAATGACTCGACTTCTATGGCTGTGAACTCCTCAGGCATTAGAAATGAGATTCTGGATATTCTAGAATACAGATTCAAAGCTGACTGGTGGTTGAAATGCTACGAATACATCCGCATGGAATGCAGCATTCGTACAGATATTACCTTGAAGGCAATGCTGCTTCATCTGTCTCCCCTGAGAGTCTGGCACTGGGATAGCACATATCTCTTATCTAGTTTGTAATCTTGGAGCACAATAAGCATTATCACCATTCTATTCCATTACAAGGAAGAAGTTAAAAACATCTGGAAGATCTTTCTCTGCCCTGCTTTAAATAGAAGCTTATTTTACCTTATTTAGCTGAACCTTCTTTTATCAACCAAAATGTAACCTCCTTGAGGAAAGGGCTATGTGTTTTTTGGTCACCACTGTAACCTCAGTACCTAGTATTTTATGAGTCATATAGAGGCTTCCATGTAAATTTCAGTGGAATGTCCACTTAAACATGAGTGAAGTTTACACATAAATAACTCATATACTTCAACTAGCTCACATCGCATGCTTTGTGAAAGGACCATGTGTGTCTTGCTCTGCCATTATAGCCCTCCATAACCTGAAATGTATAAGCCACATAAAAGATTCCACATACATTTTATTTGGATAGTTACGTAAACATGAGGGCAGTTTAATATGCACGTTAACATACACTTTGAGGAAATTAATGCCCTTAATTACAGATTCAGAAATTGCCTCCATCCCCAAAACTACAGTTAGGCTTATCGTGAAGAATGAAGATGTTCATCAAGAGAAGAATTAAAAATGAACCCTGATAAAAGAAACAGTCCTACCAAGGCATGAATTCAAGAAAGCAGTGGCACTATCTGGGCCACATAAGAGACCATGGCTTGAGCATGAGACTGGAAAGAAAGGCAAAGACTTATGCATTTGGGCTGGACTAGAAATATTAGACTGTATTCTTCAGATTAACCATTGAAGGATTTTTAAATTTGGGACTACCAAGATTAGACTTGGATTTTAGAAGGATCTCTCTCAGGATGTGAAGATTGAAAGGAAGCACTGAAATTGGACATAGGAGGACTCTTTTGTAAACCTTACCCAATTTACACTTTATTCCTCATCATAAAAATTGTCCCTCTTGCCCAGAAAAAGCCCAGTGCTCTGACTTTTTTAATATGTTGGTGAAGACTAGCTCAACAAATAGTGTTGAACGTCAGAGTCCCAATAGAAACTCAGATCTATTTGACTCCAAACACCATATTTCTACTCCATTCCAGTGCCTCTCTGAAATTTATGAGGCAGATAAAGACTGGAAATATTAATTTGGAAGTAATCTAGCTATGGGTAATAGTCAAAGCCATAAGAGCAAAAATAGTTCTCACAGTAGAGTCTGCATAGTGACATTAGTAATTATTAGCTACTGATAAGGCCAAAATGTTTGTGACATTGACCTCCTCAACTTTTCCTGGTCTCCCACATTTCAGTATTCTTTTGTCTCTGTTAACCAATTCTCACTGTTGCTAGATTACTTTCTCTAAAGCACATCCCAAATCATGCCACATATTGCTTAAGCATCCTTTTATCCAATATGTATTTGAACATCCATTGTAGTCCTTCTACATAAAGAGAAAAGCCGAAATCTCTTTCCTCAAGGAGGTCACAGTGAATTAGGGGAAACCTTTTAAATAAGTGGGCAATTTGATAATAGAGTTTTCAAAATAGAGGTATGTACAGCATTCTGTGGCATTCCATGGCAGCACAGAGTGGAAATGCCTAAACTAAACTGACTTTGTAAGAGTGGACATCCAAAAGAAGGATGCTCTATGAGCTCTTTTTAGAAAGAAATGAAAGACACAGATGAAAATGGTATCCAGGAGCCTTTTTGTTCAGAGAGGACTTGGTTGCAAACTGAGAAAATATGATGCTTTTAAGATACTTTAAGAAGCTGGAAGATCAGGTGGGGATAAATGAAATGAGCTGTGGAAGAAATCAGGTGACAGAACATGAATGGCCTTGTGTGCTTAGCTCAGGAGTTTGGATTTTAAGAAATCAGAAACTGTGTAGAAAGGTATATAAAAGAGTGATTGGAGCAGATTTACAATTTGGAAAACCATTCTCACCTTGATGGGTAGATAAATATTAGATGAGCCTGGGAGCAAAGATATCAGTTAGGAGGCTAGAGAAATAGTTTAAGTAGAACCTGATAACATTAATTATTACTCCAAATGAATTCCTTAGCCTAACATTTAATGCATCCTATATTTTGGCTGTAACCTTCCTTCCCAATCTTCTGTCCGATATCCTTTCCAATAGGCTATGCTTCCTCAAAAACCATCTGGCTATTTTAGAACCACTATCCTCCTATTCCTGTGTTTTTAACACCAGACTTTGGTTTCGACCATCTTTTATGGCCTAGCACACTGTGCAGCAGGTAGTGGATGCTCAGTAAAAATTGAGAGGGTGGAAGGCCATCCTCCAAGTTGGCTGAATAGGAATAGCTCCAGTCTATAGCTCCCAGCATGAGTGACACAGAAGACAGGTGATTTCTGCATTTCCAACTGAGGTACCAGGTTTATCTCACTGGGGCTTGTAGGACAGTGGGTGCAGGATGGTGGGTGCAGCCCATGGACCGTGAGCCAAAGCAGGGTGAGGCATCACCTCACCCGGAAAGCACAAGGGGTCGGGGAATTCCCTTTCCTAGCAAAGGGAAGCTGTGACACATGGCACCTGGAAAATTGAGTCACTCTCACCCTAATACTGTGCTTTTCCAATGGTCTTAGCAAATGGCACACCAGGAGATTATATCCCGCGCATAGCTTGGAGGGTCCCACGCCCATGGAGCATTGCTTACTGCTAGCACAGCAGTCTGAGACTGAACTGCAAGGTGGCAGCAAGGCTGGAGGAGGGGCGGCCGCCATTGCTGAGGCTTGAGTGGGTAAACAAAGCAGCCGGGAAGCTCGAACTGGGTGGAGCCCGCCGCAGCTCAAGGAGACCTGCCTGCTTCTGTAGACTCCACCTCTGGGGGCAGGGCATGGCTGAACAAAAGGCAGCAGAAACTTCTGCAGACTTAAATGTCCCTGTCTGACAGCTTTCAAGAGAGTACTGGTTCTCCCAGCACAGAGTTTGAGATCTGAGAATGGAGAGACTGCCTTTTCAAGTGGGTCCCGGGCCCCCATGTAGCCTAACTTGGAGGTACCTCCCAGTAAGGGCCTTATACGGCCAGGTGCCCCTCTGAGATGAAGCTTCCAGAGGAACGATCAGGCAGCAACATTTGCCATTCTGCAATATTTGCAGTTCTGCAGCCTCTGCTGGTGATACCCAGGCAAACAGGGTCTGGAGTGGACCTCCAGCAAACTCCAACAGACCTGCACCTGAGGGTCCTGACTGTTAGAAGGAAAACTAACAAACAGAAAGGACATCCACACCAAAAGCCCATCTGTATATCACCATCATCAAAGACCAAAGGTAGATAAAACCACAAAGATGGGGAGAAGCCAGAGCAGCAAAGCTGAAAATTCTAAAAATCAGAGGGCCTCTTTTCCCCCAAAGGAATGCAGCTCCTCACCAGCAATGGAACAAAGCTGGATGGAGAATGACTGTGACGAGTTGAGAGAAGAAGGCTTCAGAAGATCTGTAATAACAAACTTCTCTGAGCTAAAGGATGACATTTGAACCCATGGCAAAGAAGCTAAAAACCTTGAAAAAAGATTGGACGAATGGCTAACTAGAATAAACAGCATAGAGAAGACCTTAAATGACCTGATGGAGCTGAAAACCATGGCACAAGAACTATGTGAGGAATTCACAAGCTTCAGTAGCTGATTCGATCAACTGGGAGAAAGTTTATCAGTGATTAAAGATCAAATGAATGAAATGAAGCGAGAAGAGAAGTTTAGAGAAAAAAGAATACAAAGAAATGAACAAAGCCTCCAAGAAATATGGGACTATGTGAAAAGACCAAATCTACGTCTGATTGGTATACCTGAAAGTGATGGGGAGAATGGAACCAAGTTGGAAAACACTCTGCAGGATATTATCCAGGAGAACTTCCCCAACCTAGCAAGGCAGGCCAACATTCAAATTCAGGAAATACAGAGAACACCACAAAGATATTCCTCAAGAAGAGCAACTCCAATACATATAATTATCAGATTCACCAAAGTTGAAGTGAAGGAAAAAATGTTAAGGGCAGCCAGAGAGAAAGGTCAGGTTACCCGCAAAGGGAAGCCCGTCAGACTAACAGCAGATCTCTCGGCAGAAACTCTACAAGCTAGAAGAGAGTGGGGGCCAATATTGAACATTCTTAAAGAAAAGGATTTTCAACCCAGAATTTCATATCCAGCCAAACTAATCTTCATAAGTGAAGGAGAAATAAAATCCTTTACAAACAAGAAAATGCTGAGAGATTTTGTCACCACCAGACCTGCCTTACAAGAGCTCCTGAAGGAAGCACTACACGTGGAAAGGAACAACCAGTACCAGCCACTGCAAAAACATGCCAAATTGTAAAGACCATCAATGCTAGGAAGAAACTGCATCCACTAACGAGCAAAATAACCAGCTAACATCGTAATGACAGGATCAAATTCACACATAACAATATTAACCTTAAATGTAAATGGGCTAAATGCTCCAATTAAAAGACACAGACTGGCAAATTGGATAAAGAGTCAAGACCCATCAGTGTACTGTATTCAGGAGATCCATCTCACGTGCAGAAACACACATAGGCTCAAAATAAAGGGATGGAGGAAGAACTACTGAGCAAATGGAAAACCAAAAAAAAAGCAGGGGTTGCAATCCTAGTCTCTGATAAAACAGACTTTAAACCAACAAAGATCAGAAGAGACAAAGAAGGCTATTACATGATGGTAAAGGGATCAATTCAACAAGAAGAGCTAACTATCCTAAAAATATATGCACCCAATACAGAAGCACCCAGATTCATAAAGCAAGTTCTTAGAGACCTACAAAGAGACTTAGACTCCCACACAGTAATAATGGGAGACTTTAACACCCCACTGTCAACATTAGACAGATCCACGAGACAGAAAGTTAACAAGGATACCCAGGAATTGAACTCAGCTCTGGACCAAGTGGACCTAATAGACATCTACAGAACTCTCCACCCCAAATCAACAGAATATACATTCTTCTCAGCACCACATCGCACTTATTCCAAAATTGACCACATAGTTGGAAGTAAAGCACTCCTCAGCAAATGTAAAAGGACAGAAATTATAACAAACTGTCTCTCAGACCACAGTGCAATCAAACTAGAACTCAGGATTAAGAAACTCACTCAAAACCACTCAACTACATGGAAACTGAACAACCTGCTCCTGAATGACCACTGGGTACATAATGAAATGAAGGCAGAAATAAAGATGTTCTTTGAAACCAATGAGAACAAAGACACAACATGCCAGAATCTCTGGGACACAATTAAAGCAGTGTGTAGAGGGAAATTTATAGCACTAAATGCCCACAAGAGAAAGCAGGAAAGATCTAAAGTTGACACCCTAACATCACAATTGAAAGAACTAGAGAAGCAAGAGCAAACACATTCAACAGCTAGCAGAAGACATGAAATAACTAAGATCAGAGCAGAACTGAGGAAGATAGAGATACAAAAAACCCTTCAAAAAAATCAATGAATCCAGGAGATGGTTTTTTGAAAAGATCAACAAAATTGATAGACCACTAGCAAGACTAATAAAGAAGAAAAGAGAGAAGAATCAAATAGACGCAATAAAAAATGACAAAGGGGATATCACCACCGATCCCAAAGAGATACAATCTACCACCAGAGAATACTATAAACACCTCTATGCAAATAAACTAGAAAATCTAGAAGAAATGGATAAATTCCTGGACACATACACTCTCCCAAGACTAAACCAGGAAGAAGTTGAATCCCTGAATAGACCAATAATAGGCTCTGAAATTGAGGCAATAATTAAGATCCTACCAACCAAAAAAATCCAGGACCAGAGGGATTCACAGCCAAATTCTACCAGAGATAAAAAGAGGAGCTGGTACCATTCCTTCTGAAACTATTCCAAACAATAGAAAAAGATGGAATCCTCTGTAACTCATTTTATGAGGCCAGCATCATCCTTACACCAAAGCCTGGCAGAGACACAGCAAAAAAAGAGAATTTTAGACCAATATCCCTGATGAACATCAATGCAAAAATCCTCAGTAAAATATTGGCAAACAGAATCCAGCAGCACATCAAAAAGCTTATCCACCATGATCAAGTGGGTTTCATCCCTGGGATGCAAGGCTGGTTCACCATACGCAAATCAATAAACGTAATCCAGCATATAAACAAACAGAACCAAAGGCAAAAACCACATGATTGTCTCAATAGATGCAGAAAAGGCCTTTGACAAAATTCAACAGCTCTTCATGCCAAAAACTCTCAATAATTTAGGTATTGATAGGACGTATCTCAAAATAATAAGAGCTATTTATGACAAACCCACAGCCAATATCATACAAAATGGGTAAAAACTGGATGCATTCCCTTTGAAAACTGGTACAAGACAGCGATGCCGTCTCTCACCATTCCTATTCAACACAGTGTTAGAAGTTCTGGCTGGGGCAGTCAAGCAGGAGAAAGAAATAAAGTGTATTCAATTAGGAAAAGAAGAAGTCAAATTGTCCCTGTTTGCAGGTGACATGATTGTATATTTAGAAACCCCATCGTCTCAGCCCAAAATCTCCTTAAGCTGATAAGCAACTTCAGCAAAGTCTCAGGATACAAAATCAATGTGCAAAAATCCCAAGCATTCCTATACACCAATAACAGACAAACAGAGAGCCAAATCATGAGTGAACTCCCCTTCACAATTGCTACTAAGAGAATAAAATACCTAGGAATCCAACTTACCTAATGCTAAATGACGAGTTAATTGGTGCAGCACACCAACATGGCACATGTATACATATGTAACAAACCTGCACATTGTGCACATGTACCTAGAACTTAAAAGTATAATAAAAAAAAATGAAAGGACTAGTAAAAAAAAGCAGATACTTTAAAGAAATGGTTTCAGAAATTTTATAGCCAAAGTAATGTCTTAACTTGAATTCTTGTGCAAACCTTTCAAAATACAAAAGCTAAAATAGTTTGAAAATTGAATCCCTATGTTTAACCTTTTAAAATTGATCTCAATGAGCTAGTGGTACTTTAGTCACTATTGGACAAATAAATTCCTTTACATCCTATAATTGATGGAAGTGTCAAAAATGGGCCAGGTGCAGTGGCTGACACCTGTAATCCCAGTACTTTGGGAGGCTGAAGTGGGTGAATTGCTTCAGTTCAGGAGTTCGAGACCAGCCTGGGCAACATGGTGAAACCCTGTCTCTACTAAAATTACAAAAATTAGCCAGGTGTGGTGGTACACACCTGCCGTCCCAGCTACTTGAGAGGTTGAGTGGGAGGATGGCTTGAGCTCAGGAGGCAGAGGTTGCATTGAGTCCAGATCGTGTCACTGCACTCCAGCCTAGGCAACAGAGCAAGACCCTGTCAAAAAATATGTATATATATATCATAAATGATACCAATTCTGATTAAATGTCATAAGTAAATTGATGAAGTATGACTGCATTTCAATTTCAACATATCAAATTCCCATTGATTGAAGTCAGACTCTACTTAGCTCTTGCTTTTATAAACATATTATTTTCAAATTTCCTGTTAGATACCAACATGATGCAGAAATCCACAGCAATTAATGTGGTTGTTTGGTCTTTTAAAATGTTATTTTGTGTCCAAGGAGGTTAACAGAAACTTTAAAATATGGGTTCAAGTGCAAAAAGTGTCTTGAGGAAATGGTTTAGAAATATGTTTTATGCCAAAAGGTAAAATTAAATAAATAAATAAACAAATGAACAAAACTTTCCCCAGCCAAACTTCATTTGTATATGGTGTGGAAATTATAGTGTAGCTAATAAAATGAGGGTGTCATATACCTACTATAATATTGTATAAATCATGAATTATACAACAGGCAAAAATGAGAAGCTGCAAAGGAATCAAACCTGTATGGAAATAAATAAAACATACAAGCAAAGTAGCAATCATGTTCGTTCTGCTAATAAAATGTGCATCACAGGGGGCTTCTTATAAAATAATGGAATATGTTCATAGTAATTATTATTTTAGAATTTCAAAGTAACTATGAAATAGTTGGTAATTAACAAGCAACTAGTGTTGGAAGTTCTCTGGAAGATAAAGCAGTGGCTCATAAAATACTTATACACCATGAACGGGTCTCTTAGAATGGAAGCGAAAATAAAATACAATAAGCTCTTTCTGGATTGAATATAGTAGAGTTTTCTTGGGAGATTCCTCTATCAGAATTCTTGATAATTGAAAAAAAATCTAGTGTTTTGCTTTGGTTTTTTATGCCTGTGCATCTGTTTATATTATTGGTTATAAAGGATGGAAGCATGAATTGGAAATTTTAAAATCATTTTTATTCTGAAAAAATCAGGCTACATTCATTTGATCTTTTTTCTGTCATCATTGAATGTCCATTTGCAAGGAAAATTGTTTTATTTGATGAACAATTTGACTTATATTTATGTCTCACCTCTTGTCCTTAGAATCTTTAACAAACCATGCAATGAATTTACTTTATGTGAAACCATGTGCCCTGCTACTAGACATAAACTTTGTCCTTCATTTCTCCCTATATCCCACCACTGCTTCATGGCCCAACCATCCTGGTCAACCAAAAACTCAACTTTAGGGTTGAATATTAAAAATAATTTGTCCAGAACATTTTTTAAATGGAGGCATTTAGCTGGAATCTGGAGAAGACAGGAGTTTGCAACCCTCCTGCACTCCACTCACGGGTCTATCCCTGATGGGCCATATAGCTCAGCCAAATCTTGTCTCCATGATTTCCCTTGTGGTCAGAGTATTTCAATGGCTTCTAAAAGAATCAATGCACCACTTACATGACTCACTTTTCACCTTTATTAATCGGTCCCACAAGTAAGGGCAGGGTTAGGCTGAAGGAACTTATTATATTTATTGGCCATTATTAAATTATTCACTCAGACTTCTAAAGAGGCCACAATACTTTGTGATCCATGATGACCACAGCAGCGTTGCCCCAAGCTAAGTGGAGTCAGATTTCAATTTTTAAAAAGTACTAACTAGTTGTCAGAAGAAAAAGGCAGAGAAGACACTTTATCCTGAGGGCTTCTTGGAAACACAGAGTTTATTCTCTCAGATCTCAGCACTTACACTTAAGATTCTCTTACGACCAAACCGATATGTGGCACAGGGCATGCAGTAATATCTATAATAATATGAGTTTAATTAGATGCAAACCAGGACACCAGATCAGTGATACCTCATTGTTTGATAAATAGAATATTACTTTATATATGTCTCACATTTTCTTCTCACAGTACTTTACAAACAATACCAAGAATTGCTTGCACATTTCCTAAAAGGATCACGTTATAATGTCCAGTTCATTGACCAATTGACAGCCAGCTATTTGTAGCCTCAATCCACATAAACTCCAGATAATGTGCTTAATGATTCTAGAAATCTGTCTGACATTTTCAGCAGAATTGCAAGAATTAAGATTGGATATCCCTCAAATATTAAATATTGTCTTTATTCCCAAATCTACTTAATCTAAGCTTTTCCCTCACCCTGAAATTAATAGGCATAGTTATGCCTTATTGAGGAAGGTTCGATATTTGTTAAGAAAACATTTTATTGAAATACAACATCCTAAATCATAAGCGTACACCTTAGTAAATTTTTCCAAAGTAAACACAATGATGTATTCAGAACAAATATCCAAAATGAGGAGTTTATTACTTTTTTCCAGTCACTAATTACCTTAAGACAATCAATATCTTGACTTCAGTCATCATGGATTTGTTTTGCTGGTTTTTGAGTTACATATACATAGAGGCATATAGTGCATGATTTTTTGTGTGTCTATAGTGTTTGTTTTGTTTTGTTTTTCTAGGTTATGCTTGTAAGATTCATCTATGTTCACATATGTAGTAGTTGTTCATTCCTGTTACTGTATAATATTCCATTGTATAAGTATACAATCATATTATTAACTATTCTGCTGATAATGGATATTTGGATTTTTGTCAGTTTGGGGGAATTACACAGTATGGTTATGAACAGGTCTTTTTGTGCCTACATGTATTAGTTTCTTGTTTTTTTTTTGAGACGGAGTCTCGCTCTGTCACCCAGGCTGGAGTTCAGTGGCGCGATCTCAGCTCACTGCAAGCTCCGCCTCCCGGGTTCACGCCATTCTCCTGCCTCAGCCTTCCGAGTAGCTGGGACTACAGGCGCCCGCTACCACGCCCGGCTAATTTTTTGTATTTTTAGTAGAGACGGGGTTTCACCGTGTTAGCCAGGATGGTCTCCATCTCCTGACCTCGTGATCCGCCTGCCTCGGCCTTCCAAAGTGCTGGGATTACAGGCGTGAGCCACCGCGCCCGGCCTATTTCCTGACTTTTTAATGATCGCCATTCTAACTGGTGTGAGATGGTATCTCATTGTGGTTTTAATTTGCATTTCTCTAATGACCAGTGATGACGAGCATTTTTTCATATGTCTGTTGGCGGCATAAATGTCTTCTTTTGAGAAGTGTCTGTTCATATCCTTCACCCATTTTTTGATGGGGTTGTTTGGTTTTTTCTTGTAAATTTGTTTAAGTTATTTGTAGATTCTGGATATTAGCCCTTTGTTGAATGGATAGATTGCAAAAATTTTCTCCCATTCTGTCAGTTGCCCGTTCACTTTGATGATAGTTTCTTTTGTTGTGCAAAGTTCTTTAGTTTAATCAGATCCCATTTGTCAATTTTGGCTTTTGTTGCCATTGCTTTTGGTGTTTTAGACATGAAGCCTTTTCCCATGCCTATGTCCTGAATGGTATTGCCTAGGTTTTCTTCTAGGATTTTTATGGTCTTAGGTCTTACATTTAAGTCTTTCATCCATCTTTAGTTGATTTTCATACAAGGTGTAAGGAAGGGGTCCAGTATCAGTTTTCTGCATATGGCTAGCCAGTTTTCCCAACACCATTTATTAAATAGGGAATCTTTTCCCCATTGCTTGTGTGTTTCAGGTTTGTCAAAGATCGGATGGTTGTAGATGTGTAGTGTTATTTCTGAGAACTCCGTTCTGTTCCATTGTTCTATATCTCTGTTTTGGTACCAGTAGCATGCTGTTTTGGTTACTGTAGCCTTGTAGTATAGTTTGAAGTAGGTAGTGTGATGCCTCCAGCTTTGTTCTTCTTGCCCAGAATTGTCTTTCTATGCGGGCTCTTTTTTGGTTCCATATGAAGTTTAAAGTAGTTGTTTCCAATCCAGTGAAGAAAGTCAGCGGTAGCTTCATGGGGATAGCATTGAATCTATAAATTACTTTGGGGAGCATGGTGATTTTCATGATATTGATTCTTCCTACCCATGAGCATGGAATGTTTTTCCATTTGTTTGTGTCCTCTCTTATTTCCCTGAGCAGTGGTTTGCTGTTCTCCTTGAAGAGGTCCTTCACACCCTTGTAAGTTATATTCCTGGGTATTTTATTCTCCTAGTAGCAATTGTGAATGAGAATTCCCTCATGATTTGGCTCTCTGTCTGTTATTGGTGTGTAGGAATGCTTGCAATTTTTGCACATTGATTTTATATCCTGACTTTGCTGAAGTTGCTTATTAGCTTAAGGAGATTTTGGGCTGAGACAATGGGGTTTTCTAAAGATACAATCATGTCATCTGCAAACAGAGACAATTTGACTTCCTCTCTTCCTATTTGAATATCCTTTATTGCTTTCTCTTGCCTGATTGCCCTGGCCAGGACTTCCAATACTATGTGGAATAGGAGTGATGAGAGAGGGCATCCTTGTCTTGTGCCAGTTTTCAAAGGGAATGCTTCCAGTTTTTGTCCATTCAGTATGATATTAGCTGTGGGTTTCTCATAAATAGCTCTTATTATTTTGAGATATGTTCCATCGATACCTAGTTTATTGAGAGTTTTTAGCGTGAGGGTTGTTGAATTTCATCAAAGGCCTTTTCTGCATCTATTGAGATAATCATGTGGTTTTTGTCATTGGTTCTGTTTATGTGGTGGATTACGTTTATTGATTTGCGTATATTGAACCAGCCTTGCATCACAGGGATGAAGCCGAGGTGATCATGGTGGATAAGCATTTTGATTTGCTGCTGGATTCAGTTTGCCAGTATTTTATTGAGGATTTTCACATCGATGTTCATCAGAGATATTGGCCTGAAATTTTCTTTTATTGTTGTGTGTCTGCCAGCCTTTGGTATCAGGATGATACTGGCCTCATAAAATGCGTTAGGGAGGATTCCCTCTTTTCAATTGTTTGGAATAGTTTCAGGAGGAATGGTACCAGCTCCTCTTTGTATCTCTGGTAGAATTCAGCTGTGAATCCATCTGGTCCTGGACTTTTTTTGGTTGGCAGGCTATTAATTACTGCCTCAATTTCAGAAGTTGTTATTGGTTTATTCAGGTATTCGACTTCTCCCTGGCTTAGACTTGGGAGGGTGTATGTGTCCAGGAAATTATCCATTTCTTCTACATTTTCTAGTTTATTTGTGTTGCGGTGTTTATGGTATTCTCTGATGGTAGTTTGTATTTCAGTGGGATCAGTGGTGATATCCCCTATATCATATTTTATTGTTTCTATTTGATTCTTCTCTCTTTTCTTCTTTATTAGTATGGCTCACAGTCTATCTATTTTGTTGATTTTTTCAAACAAAAAAAACAGCTCCTGGATTCACTGATGTTTTGAAAGGGTTTTCATGTCTCTGTCTCCTTCAGTTATGCTCTGATCTTAGTTATTTCATGTCTTCTGCTAGGTTTTGAATTTGTTTGCTGTTGCTTCTCTAGTTCTTTTACTTTTGATGTTAATGTGTCTATTTTAGATGTTTCCTGCTTTTTCTTGTGGGCATTTAGTGCTATAAATTTCCCTCTACACACTGCTTTAAATGTGTCTGAGAGATTCTGGTATGTTGTGTCTTTGTTCTCACTGGTTTCCAAGATGCAAAATGATTTCCATTATTTTGCATTTGAGGAGTGTTTTACTTCCAATTATGTGGTCAGTTTTAGAATGAGTGTGATGAGGTGCTGAGAAGAATGTATTTTCTGCTCATTTGGGGTGGAGAGTTCTGTAGATGTCGATTAGGTCCACTTTGTCCAGAGCTGAGTTCAAGTCCTGAATGTCCTTGTTAATTTTCTGTCTCATTGATCTGTCTAATATTGACAGTGGGGTGTTAAAGTCTCCCATTATTATTGTGTGGGAGTCTAAGTCTCTTTGTAGGTCTCTAAGAACTTGCTTTATGAATCTGGGTGCTTCTGTATTGGGTGCATATATATTTAGGATAGTTATCTCTTCTTGCTGCATTGTTCCCTTTACCATTATGTAATGACCTTCTTTGTCTCTTCTGATCTTTGTTGTTTTTGTTTGTTTGTTTGTTTTTTGCTTTTCATTTGCTTAGTAAATATTCCTCCATCCCTTTATTTTGAGACTATGTGTGTCTTTGCATGTTTGTTGGGTCTCCTGAATACAGCACAATGATGGGTCTTGACTCTTTATCCAATTTGCCAGTTGGTGTCTTTTATTTGGGGCATTTAGCCCATTTACATTTAAGGTTAATATTTTTATGTGTGAATTTGATATCCTGTCATTATGATGCTAGCTGGTGGTTTTGCCCATTAGTTAATGCAGTTTCTTCATAATGTCAATGTTCTTTACAATTTGGTATGTTTTTCCAGTGGCTGGTACTGGTTGATCCTTTCCATGTTTAATGCTTCCTTCAGGAGCTCTTGTAAGGCAGGTCTGGTGGTGACAAACTCCCTCAGCGTTTGCTTGTCTTTAAAGGCTATTATTTCTCCTTCACTTATGAATCTTAGTTTGGCTGTATATGAAATTCTGGGTTGAAAGTTCTTTTCTTTAAGAATGTTGAATATCGGCCCCCACTCTCTTCTGGCTTGTAGGGTTTTTGCAGAGAGATCCACTGTTAGCCTGATGAGCTTCCCTTTGTGGGTAACCTGACCTTTCTCTCTGGCTGCCCTTAACATTTTTTCCTTCATTTCAATCTTGATGAATCTGACAATTATGTGTCTTGGGGTTGCTCTTCTCGATTAGTACCTTTGTGGTGTTCTCTGTATTTCCTGATTTTGAATGTTGGCCTGTCTTGCTAGGTTGGGGAAGTTCTCATGGATAATATCCTGAAGAGTGTTTTCCAACTTAGTTCCATTCTTCCCATCACTTTCAGGTACACCCGTCAAACATAGATTTGGTCTTTTCACATAGTCCCATATTTGTTGGAGGCTTTGTTCATTCCTTTTTATTCTCTTTTCTCTAATCTTGACTTCACACTTTGTTTCATTAAGTTGATCTCAATCATTGATATCCTTTCTTCTGCTTGATCGATTCGGCTATTGATATTTGTGTATTCTTCACAAAGTTCTCGTGCTGTGTTTTTCAGCTCCATCAGGTCATTTATGTTCTTCTCTACATTGGTTATTCTAGTTAACAATTCGACTAACCTTTTTTCAAGGTTCTTAGCTTCCTTGCATTGGGTTAGAACATGCTCCTTTAGTTCGGAGTTGTTTGTTATTATCCACCGTCCGAAGCCTACTTCTGTCAGTTCATCAAACTCATTCTCCATCCAGTTTTGTTCCCTTGTTAGTGAGAAGTTGTGATCCTTTGGAGGAGGAGAGGCATTCTGGTTTTTGGAATTTTCAGCCTTTTTGCACTGGTTTTTCCCCATCTTTGTAGATTTATCTGCCTTTGGTCTTTGATGTTGGTGACCTTCTGATGGGGTCTTTGAGTGGACATGCTAATCCTTTCTGTTTCTTTTCCTTCTAACAGTCAGGCCTGTATGCTGCCAGTCTGCTGGAGTTTGCTGGAGGTCCACTCCCGACCCTGTTTTCCTGGGTATCACCAGCAGAGGTTGCAAAGCAGAAAAGATTGCTGCTTGTTCTTTCCTCTGGAAGCTTCAACCCAGAGGGGCACCTGACAGATGCCAGCCAGAGCTCTCCTGTATGAAGTGTCTGTCAGCCTCTACTGGGAGGTGTCTCCCAGTCAGTATACACGGGGCTCAGGGACCCACTTGAGGAGGCAGTCTGACCCTTAGCAGAGCTTGAACCCTGTGCTAGGCGGTCCACTGCTCTCTTCAGAGTTGTCAGGCAGGGATGTTTAAGTCTGCTATGAGCCCCTAACTAGGGTTGCTGCCTTTTTTTACAGAGATGCCCTGGCCAGAGAGGAGAATCTGGCAGTCTGACCACAGCAGCCTTGCTGAGCTGCAGTGGGCTCTGCCCAGTTGGAACTTCCCAGCAGCTTTGTTTACACTGTGACATAAAACCTCCTACTCAAGCCTCAGCAATGGCTGACACCCCTCCCCCCACAAAACTGGAACATCCCAGGTGGAACTCAAGATTGCTGCTGTGCTGGCAGCAAGAATTTCAAGCCAGTGGATTTTAGTTTCCTGGGCTCCATGGGGGTGGGACCTGCTGAGCCAGACCACTTGGCTCCCTAGCATCATCCTTTCTTTCCAGGGGAGTGCAGAATTCTATCTCACTGGCGTTTCAGGAGCCACTGGGGTATGGAAAAAAGAAAAAAAACAAAAAAAACTCCTGCAGCTAGTTTGATGTCTGCCCAACTGGCCGCCCAGTTTTGTGCTTGAAACCCAGGGCCTGGGTAGGGTAGGCACTGGAGGGAATCTCCTGGTTTGAGGGTTGAAAAGACCGTGGGACAAGTGCAATATCTGTGCCGATGTTCCTCAGGCTCAGACCCTCACAGCTTCCCTTGGATAGGGGAGAAAATTCCCTGTCCCCTTACACTTCCCAGGTAAGGTGACGACCCACGCTGCTTCAGCTTGCCCTCTGTGGGCTACCCCCACTGTCCAACCAGTCCCAGTGAGATGAACCAGGTACTTCATTTGGAAATGCAGAAATCACCTGCCTTCTGCGTCGATCTTGCTGGGAGCTGCAGACTGGAGCTGTTCCTATTCAGCCATATTGAATCCTTCTACTTGCAGTGATTGTTATTTCTCTTCTAGATCTAGCCACCCAGTGGAGCTACTGGGCTCCAGCATGGTACTGGGGAGTGTCTGCAAAGAATCCTGTGATGTGATCCATTTTTAAGTCTCTCAGCCATGGATACCAGCACCTACTCCAGTGGAGGTAGCAAGGGAGTGAAGTAGATTCTGTAAGGGTCCTTGGTTGTATTTTTGTTGTCTGCTGGTTTTGTGTTGGTTGGCCTCCCACCAGGAGGTGGCACTTTCAAGAGTGCGTTAGCTGTGGTATAATAGGGAGGATACAAGCTTGCCCTAGGGTCACCTTTGGATAAGTATTCAGGTTTCTCAGGCAGTAGGCAGGGCCATAGAGCTTCCAAGAGATTGTGTCCTTTGTCTTTGGCTACCAGGTTGCATAGAGAAAGACCACCAGGCTGGGGTGTGTGATAGGTGTGTCTGAGCTCAGACTCTCCTTGGGCAGGGCTTGCTGCAGCTGCTGTGGGGATGGAGACATGGCTCCCAGTCCAATGGTGTTATGTTCCCAGGGGATTATGGCTGCCTTTTGTGCATCACACAGGTTGCCAGGGAAGTGGGGGAAAGCCAGCAACCACAGGCCTCCTCCAGCCCTCATGCAGTCCAATGCCCAAAAGGCTGGTCTCACTCTCACCATGTCCCCTCCAACAGCACTGAGTTTATTTCCAGGCAACCAGTGAGCAGGGTTGAGAACTTGCCCCAGGCTACAAGCCTTCCCTGATAAAGCAAGCTGACTCATGGCTCCTGGGCTGTCCCAGGGAGCCTGCAGCAGCAATCTACCTCCTTCAAAGTGAATAATCGAGGAAAACTTCCCTGGCCTTGCTAGAGATCTAGACATCCAAACATAAGAATCTCAAAGAACACTTGGGAGATTCATCACAAATGATTATCACCTAGGCGCATAGTCATCAGATTATCCAAAGTCAAGATGAAGGAATCTTAACAGCTGTGAGGCAAAAGCATTGGGTAACCTATAAAGGAAAACCTATCTGATTAACAGCAGTTTTCTCAGCAGAAACCCTACAAGCTAGAAGGGATTGGAGTCCTATCTTTAGATTACATAAACAAAACAATTATCAGCCAGGTATTTTGTATTCAGCAAAACCAAGCTTCATAAGTGAAAGAAAGATACAGTCTTTTATCAGACAAATAAATGCTGAAAGAATTTGCCACTACTAAACCAGCATTATAAGAACTGCTAAAAGGAGGTCTAAATCTTGAAATAAATTTTCAAAATAAACCAAAATTAAAACATCTTAAAGCATAAATCTCACAGGACCTATAAAACAATAACACAGTGGGAAAAATAGGTATTCGGGCAACAAATAGCATGATGAATAGAATAATGCCTCACATCTCAATACTAACATTGAATGCAAATGGCCTAAATGGTCCATTTAAAAGATACAGAATGGCAGAATGGATAAGAGTTCACCAACCAAGTATCTACTGTCTTCAAGAGATTCACCTGACACATAAGGACTCATGTGAACTTAACGTAAAAGGTTGGAAAAAGATATTCCATTGAAATGGAAATCAAAAGTGAGCAGGAGTAGAAAACAAACTTTAAAGCAACAGCAGTTAAAAAAGACAAAGAGGGACATTATATAGTGATAACAGTACTATTCCAACAGGAAAATATCACAGTCATATATATATATATGCACCTAATACTGGAGCTCCCAAATTTATAGAACAATTACTACTAGACCTAAGAAATAAGATAGACAGCAACACATAATAGTGGGGGAATTCAATACTCCACTGACAACACTAGACAGGTCATCAAGACAGAAAGTCAACATAGAAACAATGGACTTAGCCGGGTGCAGTGGCTCACACCTGTAATCCCAGCACTTTGGGAGGCTGAGGCAGGCGGATCATGAGGTTAGGAGATCAAGACCATCCTGGCTAACACGGTGAAACCCCGTCTCTATTAAAAAGTTAGGCAGGTGTGGTGGTGGGTGCCTGTAGTCCCAGCTACTTGGGAGGCTGAGGCAGGAGAATGGCATGAACCCAGGAGGCGGAGCTTGCAGTGAGCCAAGATGGCACCACTGCACTCCAGCCTGGGCAATGGGCGACAGAGTGAGACTCTGTCTCAAAAATAAAAAAATGGACAAAAGATAGAGAAAGAGGGAATCCTCCCTAATCATTCTATTAAGCCAGTATCACCCTAATACCAAACCAGGAAAGGACATAACAAAAAACGAAAGCTACAGACCAATATCCCTAATGAACACAGATGCAAAAATTCTCAACATAATACTAGCTAACCGAAACCAACAGCATATCAGAAAGATAATCCACCACAATCAAGTGGGTTTCATACCAGGGATGCAGGGTTAGTTCAGCATATGCAAGCCAATAGATGTGATATACCACATAAACAGAATTAAAAACAAAAATCACATGATCACCTCAATGTCAAATGTAAAAGCATTTGACAAAATTCAGCTTCCCTTTATGATTAAAACCCTCAGCAAAATCAGCATAGAAGAGATGTAACTTAAGGTAACCTACAATCAACATTATACTGAATAGGGAATAATTGAAAGCATTCTCAGTGACAACTGGAACAAGACAAGGATGCCCACTTTCACCACTTCTTCTCAACATAACATAATACTGGACATCCTAGCCAGAGCAATCAGACAAGCGAAAGAAATAAAGGGCATCTAAATCAGTAAAGAGGAAGTCAAACTGTCACTGTTTGCTAATGATATGATTGTATACCTAGAAAACCCTACAGACTCCTCCAAAAATCTCCAAGAACTGGTAAATGAATTCAGCAAAGTGTCAGGATACAAAATTAATATACAAAAATTAGTAGCTCTGCTATGCACCAACAGCAACCAAGCAACTAATCAAATCAAGAACACAACCACTTTTACAATAGCTATAAAAAATTAAATTAAATTAAATTAAATTCTTAGGAATATGCCTAACCAAGAAGGTGAAGACCTCTACAAAGAAAACTACAAAACGCTGCCAAAAGAAATCATAGACAATACAAACAAATGGAAACACATCCCATGCTGATGGATGGGTAGAATCCATACTATAAAAATGATCGTACTGCCAAAAGCAATCTAAAATTCAATGCAATTCCAATAAAAAAACCACCATCATTTCTCACAGAACTAGAAAAAACAATTCTAAAATTCATACGAAACCAAAAATGAGCCCACATAGCCAAAGCAAGACTAAGCAAAAAGAGCAAATCTGGAGGCATCACATTACCCAATTTCAAACTATAAACAGCATGGTACTGGTATAAAAATAGGCATATAGGCTAATGGAACAGAATAGAGAACACAGAAATAAACCCAAATACTTAAGGCCAACTGATCTTCGACAAAGTAGACAAAAACATAAAGTGGGGAAAAGACATCCTATTCCTCAAAAGGTGCTGGCATAATTGGCAAACCATATGTAGGAGAATGAAACTGGATCCTCATCTCTCACTTTATACAAAAATCAACCCAAGATGGATCAAAAAATTAAATCTAAGAACTGAAACCACAGAAATTCTAGAAGATAACATCAGAAAAACCCTTCTAGACATTGACTTAGGCAAAGACTTCATGATTAAGAGCCTAAAAGCAAATGCAACAAAAACAAAGATAAATAGATGAGACTTAATTAAACTAAGCAGCTTCTGCAAAGCAAAAGAAATACTCAGCAGGATAAATAAACAAGCCACAGAGTGGGAGAAAATCTTCACAATTTGTATATCCAACAAAGGCCTAATATCCAGAATATACAAGGAAGTCAGACAAATCAGCAAGAAAAAAACAATGGATTGAAAATTGGGCTAAGGTCATGAATAGACAATTCTCAAAAGAAGATATACAAATGGCTGAGAAACATATGAAACAATGCTCAACATCACTAATGATCAGGAAAATGCAAATCAAAACCACAATGCATACCACCTTACTTCTGCAAGAATAGCCATAATCAAAAAATTAAAAAAATAAATAGACGTTGGCAGGGATGTGGTGAAAAGGGAACACTTTTACACTGCTAGTGGCAATGTAAATTAACACAACCACTGTGGAAAACAGTGTGGAGATTCTTTAAAAAAATAAAAGTATATTTACCATTTGATCCAGCAATCTCGCTTCTAGGTATCTACCCAGATGGAAGGAAATCATTATATATATAAAAAAAACTTGCAGACACATGTTTATAGCAGCACAATTAGCAATTCCAAAAATATGAAACTAGCCCAAATGTCCATCAGTCAATGAGTGAGTAAAGAAAATGTTATATATATATTTATATATATACTTATTTATATATATACACTTATTTATATATATATACATATATACATATATATATATATATATATATATATATATACATATATATATATATATATATATATATATATATACATATATATATATATATATATATATATATATGAGTAGTATCCCATGAAGTACTACTCAGCCATAAAAAGGAACAAAATAATGGCATTTACAGCAACCTGGATGGAATTGGAGACCATTATTCTAAATGAAGTGACTTAGGAATGGAAAATCAAACACTGAATGTTCTCACTCATAAGTGGGAGCTAAGCTATGAGGACACAAAGGCATAAGAATCATACAATGTACTTTGGAGACTCCGGGAAAAGGATGAGAGTGGGGCGAGTGATAAAAGACTACACATTGGGTATGGATGATGGGTGCACCAAAATATCAGAAAGCACTACTAAAGAACTTATTCATGTAACCAAACACCAGCTCTTCCCCAAAAATCTATTGAAATAATAATAATAATAAAAGATAAGTGTTGTAATATGTTCCTCTGAAAAGAGAACCTCTTTAGACTTTGGAGTCCAGGGGTCCTGGTGACTAACATTAGAGCTCTAGAAGATGAAGCCAAAGGTGACAATAGAAGATAATAGAAGCCACAGGTGTCCCAAGTGTGTCTTGGCAAACAGCCACATGAGACAACACACTGAGAGGGATGGTCTTATTGTGGCCAACCTTCCAGGCTTGTCTAGAACTACCCTGGTTTCAGCACTGACGGTTCAGCATCCCAGGGAACTCTTCTCTGGAATGCAAAAGTCCTGGAATTCAGTCATCAGTGCAAAAGTTTCAGGGATAAACAGAAAACCCCACTAAATATTCCAAAACATAGTAGGTCTGAAAGGAACACTGTTTTTAGTATTAAATGACTAAGACATAGATGGCTTACCTGCTGGAGTTGCTGTCACGGATTTGTCTGCTGACTGCTGATGTTGGCAACTGTGTTTTGTGGTTTAAGCACAGTAGCTCAGCCATTGTTCCATCACCCCAAGTAACTTAAATGTGACCTAAATGTGCAACTTAAGCACATTGTAATCATGAGCATTAACAATCTCTGAATAAAGTGTTCTTTTTTTTATCAAGATGATGCCGTTTAATTTTGAACATTCTAAATATGGTGACCACGTTTTCTAAGAATTTGGGTAGTAAAAATGAGAATGGTGACAATATCAATGCTAGACATCACCACAAAAAGAAGGCTAAATAGCTGTGTTGATACAATGACAGGTGATATGATTAGGAAAGAAAATAACCAAAACAGAGCATTCTATACAATATGTCAAAAATAATTTGGGATTGAGCACAATGAAGAAAGAGATGTATCAGTCCATATGGACATGGAATCTCACAAATTCGGTGTAAGGTAGGAAAGTACTGCTAAATCAATACTTTTTTCTTTTTTTTTTTTTTTAAATATCACCAATGCTCCTCTTGAAAATATTAGGCATCAATGAATTTGGACCTGCCAGGGAATGTGCACATACACTGCCCCATCGCTCTCTTGATTATTCTATGAAACTGAGCAAACTTATAGTTCCTGATTCAAATATTGCAACTAAAATGTGGACAAACAAAAGTGGAAATTTTGATAACATATGTGTTAGTCCTTTACAGCCTCTATGCAGGTCATCTATCTGCATATTCAGTAGACAGTGCAAATGTAAATTGTGGCAAATTCCATTTTGGCAAATTCCATTCAGTCTGTGATTTCTTATGCAAGACAGAAAATTATCTTAACTGCTAATATCCTGCACATTTTATACACGATAACGTTACAAGGAGTTGTGATCTGTTGAGCTGAAATATAGTGCTTTTATACTGAAGTTTGGGTCACTTGCAGTTTCTTCAAAATGTGTAGAAGCACTTACTGACATTTTGCTTTACAGAAATGGAAGGCTACAGCCACGTAGGCACAATCCTGCAAGATGGCTGTGATCGTTGCAGGCCATGAAAAAGATATTAAAATGTTGTCCCTCCATAAAATCATATTTTCAAGGAGTGCAGCAAAAAAAATGACTATCTCTAATATGGGAATACATTGAGGATGAGAATAAAGAAAAGAACTGTAGTAAAACAAACATTTTTGTATTGTTTTCCCAAAGCTATTTAGTAATTTTCCCCCTATTTTAGAGGCAGAATCTTGGTATGTTGTCTAGACTGGACTTAAACTCTTGGGCAAAAGGGAGCCTTCACCTCACCTCCCAAGTAGCTGGGACTTCAGATGTGCACCACTGTGCCAGACCTAGGTTTTTATTTGGTAATCCTTGATGGGACACAAGGAGAAAGATGAACTGATTGTCTTGGAGTTGTTCAATGTTAAGTGTAGGTTGAGACGAAAACTTTTACTGGAATGAAATGACTCTTTTGGTTGAAAATAAGATTGTCTCAGAACTTAAGAAATGTCACTAGAAAAGGGCAGCCAAGTTAAACAGGACTTTCTCAATTTCTTTGCTAAAACTCTAACTTATTTGGAATTCAACTTTGACTTCAGAAGTTCAAATGACCTCTGTGTTTAAAACCATATTCTCTGACAAAGAAAGGTGTAACTTATGATGACATCCAATATGATTTAAAATGATGACATTGTAGACATAGATACACTATATAGTAAATTTGAAGATGCAAAGGGTTTGATTGACAAATAGGTGCCTACCAAAATAAGTCTGTCAATAAAAAGTAAATTCAGTTTTCAGAGGTGTAAGCTAATTTCTGCAAGTTTAAAAATCTGCTGTTTGCAGTAAGTAAAATCTCAAGTATTCCATACTCAGATATTTTTGTTTAAAAGATATTTGACTTGATGTTCAGTTCACATTGAACTGACATTAGGAATGAGTGCAAGGTGGGCTTAATAAAAACAGATCTGCAAGTCAAAGTGAATTGTACAACACTTAACTACATTAAGTTTTACCACTACATAAAAGAACAATATTCTAAAAGCTTCAGGGAATTCAAATAAGAATTATTAGGAAAGTAAACAGAAAAAAATAAAAATATGTATGGCACAAAAATATGTCATTTTAAAATCAAATATAGGTAACATTTTTTAATTAGTCATATTAATGAGTTTGTTCTTTTAAAATATCTTATATTTATAGGCTTTAGAAAATAACATAAATAGCCTTCCAATTTATGTACCCAACTAAGAGCTTTGTAAGAATTTAAAAATAAACTGTTATACTATAGAACAAAAAGAAATATTATTAAATACTGCTATGTTTTTTCATATACATTAATTAGTTCTACTATTAACTATTTATTATTGTCATAATTATGTAACAGAAAAGTAAATAATATGGAATACTATAAATTTTATTTTAATACCTGTTCTGCATAAATTTGTGATAAGGTCATAAAATATATTGTTTGGTCTGGCTATATCCCAGGTTGGCTCTCCGAAACTTTGGTCACCCTAGTTGGTAGAGAAATAGAAACCGGGTTTGAAGAAGGAGAAGGTGTATCAGTCAGCTTTCACAATATTAACAAAGAACTGCAAACATATCAGTGGCTTAGAACAAGTAAGCTTTATCTCATGCATTCCTCGTTATGTTTTCGATGCATTTCTGTTGTTATTTGTCTTCAGTCTGGAAATAGAGCTGAAGGAACAGCCCCTACCTAGGCAAAGCTGATCTGATTGTGGCAGGAAGACAAAGCTTTCCTTAGATGTGGCATGCACCCTTTCTACTGACATTTTATTGACCAAGTGGGTCATGGTGCAATGCGTTAGGGATATATTATCCTCCTAAAGGATGCAAGAGAGAGTGCTCAAGAAAAATAATGTGATTTCCTAAGCTCCTCTCTTGGTCACAATTATTTGCTTCCCTTCCTTTACTCCCATAATACACTTAACAGTAATCCTGCAGTAATCCAGGAAATAAGTTATTGTATTGTACTACCAAGGTATTAGTAAGAGAGGTTGTGAGATATAGTCACATCCTGTACATAGAAATGGATCCAAGGTTACACTTAATCCCTTTCCTAAGGAAAGATAGTGTCCACCACCAATTGGAGGTAGTTCTGCTGCTTGTATTTATTTTTAGACTGAGACTGAAAAAGAAGATCCCATATGGGCCATGACGCTTTTGTAATGGAGAGAAAAGGAATAATGATAAAACAATGGCTTTTAAATATCCTGCTCAGACATGACATGTGCCATCTGTTCACATTTTATTGGCCAGTGCAAGTCACTGTCACCACACCTGATATCAGTGGGTGGGCATTACTACCTTCTTAAAAAATATGGCAGCAGAAACTTGGAAATAATAGTCAATTTCCCCAGAAGAGAAAAAGAGATGTCATGGCAGAAAGAAAGGGTTTGAAATAGAGTGGAAGACAGAACATAGTGTGATTCTAGGAGCCACAGGAGCCACTGCCCTTTCTATCAGGTGCCTGAAGCTTTGGTTTCACATGGAAAAAGGATTGATACATTACCCTATATGTTTAAAGTGAAGTTTCTGTCAAAATATCCCAACATTATAGCAACAGATATACCTCCAATCCTTATTGTTTGTATGGTACCTGCAATTCATAAGTGACTTTTCTTCCTAAGATTGAATAGGTATTCACAACTATTATTTCATTTACCCTTCCAAGGTTTTGTAAAATAATATGTGGAGGTGGTTGATAAATTCTACCATTCTTGATATAAAAAATACAAAACTTTAAGAATAAGAAGATACCTCTTAAGAATAAGAAGTTAGAGAACACATCCTGTAAGTCCACAGTGAACACAGCAATAAAGATTAAGCATTAGAAGCTTTTCCATAGATAGAATAAACTACTTGAATCAACCAGGGATGTACTACTACATCTGTTATTAATATTTTCTGAAATTTTTCCACAATATACTAAAACCTAAAATAAGTTTTGAAATAAGTATTTGACACAATGTTTAAATTAAATATTAGAAGGACAAAGCTCATATGATAGGTTGTACAAGATAAATACATAAAAATCAATAGTTTCTTATATACCAACAGTTAGGAGATGTAATAGGAAAATTATATTCCATTTGCAAAGGCATCGTAAGCTATAAGGAGAGACTGAACATTAAATTTGTTGTCAAATGGAACTGAATTTGTATCCCAGCTCTGCCATTTACGGTGTGTGTCTCTTATCAAATTGCTTAGCTCTCTACATTTCAATTTATCTTACTTGGAAAATATGGATAACAATAGTACTTATCTCATAAGATTGTTGCAGAGAATAAGTAATAGCTAAAAATTTTAGAGAGTTTGCTATATGTGCAGTATAAATTTTTTTAATTTGCATGTTATTTTAGTTAATCAAAGATTAATTAGTTAGTCTTAAACATTGACTCCATGAGGTAGATAACCTTATTAACTACCTGTTTTTTCCAGATAAGTAATGATATCACAAAATTCCAAGTACCTTGCAGTGTTACTCAGCTACTAAAGGCAGTGATGAAATTTGAACCCAAGCTGTTTGACTCCAGAGCCCACACTCCTAACAACTGCGTATATTCATTAATATTTATTGACAGGTTGTTAAGTGCTTGGGATGCATTAATGAACAAATAAAAATGTGTGACCTCAAGGAATTTATACTCTAGCCAGTAGAAGTATGTAAATAATAAATAGATTTTACAGCATTCCAGGAGTCAAAAGTGCTGTGCCAAAAAAATTTAAAAATGAAGTGCCAGGTGGTGTAAAATCAGCCTCATTGAGATGGTGATGAACAAAGATGTGGAAGATAGGAGGCAGTTGGCCAAACAGATATCTGGGGAAATGTATTCTAGGCAAACAGGACAACCAGATCAAAGGGTCTAAGCAGAATCACACATAGGCAGAAACCACAAGGATCCATGGAGCCAGAGTGGACTGAACAAACAGGAGGATAGTAGAAGAGGAAACCGCAAGTGAGGAGGAGCCAGTTCATACAGAACATTTGCGAGCTTCCCTTTGTGTAATATTTTGGCTTTTACTCTAAGTTAAATGGAGAGTCACTGCAGTGTTTTGAAAAGGAATGACAAAATCCAACTTACATTTAAATTGTCACTCTGGCTGCTGTGCTAAGATTGGGTTGTAGGGGAACAAGAGTAGGGTCAGGGGGACCTGTTGGGAGCTATTGCAGTAATCCAGGAAAGAAGTTATTGTATTGTACTACCAAGGTAGTAGTAAGAGAGGTTGTGAGATATAGTCACATCCTGTATACAGAAATGGATCCAAGGTTAAGATTGGCTACATGTGAAATACAAGAAAAATGGAGTAGTCAAAGATGTCAAGTTTTTGACCAAACTGATCTGAACAACTGAAAAGATGGAGTTACCATTCGCTGAGGTGGGAAAACTGCAGGAGGAATATATTTGGTAAAAAGACTAGGGGTTTTTCTTACCAAAAATAGACACATTTCTTACCAAATATGAACACGTTGAATGTGAGCTATCTCTTCATTGTCCATGTAAAGATGTGGAATTGGCAGCTACATATGCGAATGAAGAGTTTAGGAGTAAAGTCTACGCTCGAGATATAAAACCAAAAGGCTGGAGGAGAACAAGAAGAATGCAAGTATAAATAAAGAGACAAGGACCAAGGACTCAGTCCTGGAGTGCCCCATTAGGAAGTTTGAAAAAAGAGGATCCAGCAAAGAAGACTGAGAAGAAGCAGCCAGCGAAGTCATAGGAATACCAAAAACCCTGAAAGCAAAGTGAAGAAAGCGAATCAAAAAGAAGGAAGACAGTTGTGATAAATGCTAGCAGGTCAAATGCTTCTGATAAGTCAAATTAGATGGAAATTGATCATTAACTACTAGATTTAGCAACAAGTGGGTTATTAGAGATCCCAATTATAATATTTAGTAGCAATATTTAGTGGGACAAATGCCTCACTAAAGTGGCTTTAATAGAGAATAGGGTGAATTTTACGGTATGTGAGTTATATCTCAATGAGAGAGGAAGAATATTATGGGAGGAGAGAAATTAGGGAGAGCATCTCAACCAAGGAGTTTTACAGCAAAAGTTGGCAAATGAGTAGTGAAGCTTGCAAGAAAGTAAAGGCAAATATGTTTAAATTTTTCTTCTTTTTCATTTTTTTTGGTTAAGATGAAAGTATGTTTTGTTGATGAGTATAATGAAGAGTAAATATTTGATTAAAAAAAGACAAAGTGGGAAACATGTCTGCAACAGTGCCCTCAAATAGGGAAGAGAGATGGGATTTGAAAAGCAAGTGTTGATGTTGACTGTGGATGAGAGCACAGATATCTCAGATTAGGTATACAGGTGTAGATGCTTCTACATGGGTAGATGTGGTCGTGGGAATCTTTGGCACACTTCTTCTGTTTACCTCAATTTTTCAGTGAAGTTAAGAGACAAAATCTCTGAAACTGAAGAAGGCAGATGGGGCTGTTGGGTATTTTGAAAAGAGTGGAGAAGGGGTGAAACAGTCACCTAAAATAAGTAGAGAAATAAATGGACTGGGATGTATATCTGATTGCCTGGTGTCACCTAAGACCCAACTGAGGTCTGCGTATCACACTACAGGATAAATATGCAAAGCCCTAAGCCAAGTGCCTGCATAATGTAAATATTCAGTATATGTTAACGTGTCATTTGTTCTTTATTCATTTGGGCATTCAGCATATATTATTTATCGCATGTTATCCATCCACTAGGCACAATCTTAAACATTGAGGATGCAGCACAAATGAGAAAAAAAAATCTTCTCTTATGAACTTTGCATTCTAGAGAGAGGAGTTAAAACTGAAAACATGCAAAATAACAAATGACAACAAATTGTAAGAAGTGCTGTGAAGGAAAACATTAGGAAAGCAGTCTGTGTTATCAAAAAAGTCGTCTCTTTGGAAGTGAAACTTGCATTGAAATGTAAATAAATAGAAATGTGCAGCCAAGAAATTTGGGGAAAAGGGTATCCCAAAGGGGAAAACAAGTCAAATGCTCTGAATCTGAAGGCAAGCTAAGGAAACCTGGGAACCCTGGTAAAGGAGTTTGGATGTTTTCTCATTGCAGAGGGAAGCTCTTGGAGGGTTGGTTGTAAGCTCTGATCATTCTCATTGCTGTTTGGGGAATGAATGATGGACCTGCAAAATGGTTAGCAAAGAGGACAGTTAGTTCAGAAGCTCTACAATGATCTAGTTAAGAAAGGAAGGAGTTAGGATCAGGATGATAGCAATGGAGATGACAAGAAGTTGTAGGACCCCATGCATATTATATTTTGGAGAGCATGCTAAGGTATTGAGAGTATGAAGAGAGTGTATATGAAAAAAAAAAGTCTAACCCTTAGAATAGTTGACCTCAGAAAGATGCTGATACAATTAACTAAGATGAGTAAAGAAGGATAACAGCAGACTTAGGAAAGGGCAGAGCACATGTGACATTTACACATTTTATGGACGTATTGGTTTGCAGATACCTAATAGACCTCCAAGTATTGGGTTGATGCAAAAGTAATTGTGGTATTTGCCATTAAAAGTAACTTTTAACGGTAATAAACTTTAAAAGTTTAAAAGATATTTTTAATTACTTTTAAAGTAAAGCTTATTAACATTAAAAGTTATTTTAATGGCAAATACCACAATTACTTTTGCATCAACCTAATAGAAATGCTGAGGAGCCCACTGGATACTAAGTCTGCAATCCAAACTAAAGATAGTTTAGTATAGTTTTAGATAGGACTGAAGATAGAGATTTGTGAATATAATTTTCAGATTTATCAAATAATAAAAAAGATGTTCATTTAAATTTGAATTCAGATAATCAATGAGTATTTTTAGTAGAAATATCTCATGTAATATGTGAGATATACTTATACTAAAAAATGTGTTGTCTATTTGAAATTTAAACCTAACTGGGCATCCTATATTTAATCTGGCAATTCTACCTGTGAGTCCAGTATGTATTTGTTTACTATCTTCATACATTATTTTGTCATTTGTCTTGAAACACCTTCAAAATAAATATGTAGGACTAATATATACAGAAATTTTTTAAAAAGAAAAACAGACACCGATATTTTAAAATCTTAAAACTTAAAAAGTTTCAAAGAAATTAAAAAATTTTTAAAGGTGCACTTTTGCCCATAGAATTGTTAAAGTTATCAGAAAATATTATGGATTATCATCAAGAAATTTATGAAACGGAAACTTGTATACACTATTAGTACAACCGAATTAAGTGTTCCTAGGAGTAATTTGGCAATATGTATCAAAATTAGTTAAGAAATGTCACAGAGTCCAGGAGGGTCTACCTCAAACCAAAATTGTCTCTGACATAAAAGGACTTAACTTGATACCATTATTCAACATTGGGGTGCAAATATCACTGGAAAGGGCAATACATAAATTGCTATCAGTTGTAAATACTTGCTTATATTAGAACCATTCTTCAGGACAACAAGTTGGTAAAAACATCCCATAGATTAAACACATAATAGGTAAACTATATTAGAGGAAACAGCTCTGGGAATAGTTTGGAAAGAAAATCCTGCTCAGAGTTGAGGGAATGCTTTGTAACTAGAGAACTATAATGAGAGCCAGGACACCCAGTGGTGTGGCCTAGCAACTAGGGGGAAAAATAATGGATAGAAAACTGCTAAAAGTAGATGATACCCCAAGTTTGTCTTTTGATCACCCCACTTTGAAAAAAAACTATGAAGAAAATGTATTGCAAAAGAAGAGGGTGTGACTGAGAAAAGGCATCCAGCCCTATGAATAGAGATCACAAAGGTGATCCAGAAAAGGTTGTCCATCTCCGTCCCCTCTGGATTTTGCAAGCCTGGTCTCAGTACTATGCATATAATAAAGAAAACACAGGTTGTGCAGATGTTAAATAGCACTTACTAGCAGATGCAGTCAAGGAAAGGACCCAGGGGAGAACTCACGCAAGAACTCATGCTCTCACATTTGTTAATATGATAAATGAGTTTGGGGCACCAGTTTCTTCTTTTTCCCTTCACACTCCTCAATACTTCCAGAACTTCCTAATTGCTTCTGTTCCCTCAATCTTTCTAATGATAACAGCATTAACTCAGGCTCACTTTTATTTTGGGCCAAATTATCATCATTGTACCATACGGAGTTAATTAAAATGTAGCCAGGAAAGGCTGCTGTGAACGACAGAGGCAGGGCTTGATTCTAAAAACCTGTGGGGATCATCAGTGAGCCATGAAGAACAGCCAGCCAGACAGCCAGGCTGTTCCAAAACCCTGGCTGATATTTCAAATGCTATTTTTAAGGGAGGGGATGGGATACTTGGGGAAGGGGACAGTGAAGACAGAGGAAACCCTGGTAAGAAAGTGAGATAGCGGGTTTTACGGTTTTAAATTCAAGCTGGGGCTGTTCAAGTTGGGAGCATCATTTGGTGTAATCTCATATGTCCAGAATTTAATATCTCTAGAGAGATTTAACTTGAGTTGCGACTTCTCACATTTAATGAAGCGAAACTCTCTCAGGCCACTGGAAGACATATCTAAGGATGAAAACCAGTAATTTACAGCTTTAGTGACCTTATTACAGTGTACTTTGTGCTTGGCTGCTCTTCTCTCTTATGTGGGCCATTATCAAAGGCTTCCTGGAATATTGGCCATTAGCTACATGCAGACCAAGGGGCTTTGTCTTCAAGGGCTGGGAGGGGGTGGGGGAATGAGAAAGATATTGAATATTTTATCTTAACTCCTCGGAAAAATCAAAATAGCAATATGCTTTTTGAAACGCTAATATGCATGTGAATGCTGGTGATGAGGAGAAGTCTCCAATAACAAACAAGCCGTGGAGCAAAGACTTCTAAAAGATGAGCTAATTACAGTGACAGCCCAAATAACAATGAATATTCTCCACTAGCTGATGAATAGCTCCTGATTTTGAGATGCCTAACCTACATCTGTGCTATGGAGATGGAAATAACAACGAGTTAGAAAACACCATCAGATTTGCCAGATGCCAGTGGCTCACAGTGGGAGGACGAGAAGTTCAGGTTGGATAGGCCTTATTGCCAGGAATTAACTCCATGGAAGAAATCCACTTCAACACATGTGCATGCCTGCCCACATTCACTCAACAAATAGATGGAGCCCCTACCGTGTGCAGGCAAAACTCTAGGCCAGGAGTGAGCAAACATTCTCTAGAAGGGCTCAGGCAATACATATTTTAGGATTTGTGAGCCACACATGGTTTCTATCACATCTTCTTCTTTAGTATTTTTTAACAACCCTTTAAAAATGTTAAAACTATTTTTAGTTTGAGAGGTCATGCAAAAACCAGCTGCAAGCTATGGTTTGCTGACCTTTGGTCCAGGCACTGGACCAAAACAAAGCAACCCAAAATCATCTTGCCGTCAAGGAGCTTTGGGGAGGGAATGAACCAGAAAGCCCACTATTAATATAGTAAGAAAGACATTAAAACATTATTAATGCTGGGACAAAAAGAAAAAAAAAGTAGATCTGGGCGTGATGGGAGAATAGCATTAAAGAAAAAGAAATGTTTAGAAGAAAAATACTTTCTCTGATTTGAGCTTTTATGATTTGAGATTATGATGAAGATAGTACCGTTTGGGTTTGAATTTTAGTGCTTTAGAAAAGCAATATGGTAATAGAAATCTCAGATATTTAAGAATCAACACACTTGAGTTTAAATAATAATTCTGCCACTTAAGACTTGTATTGTAATCAAGTATACGAACCTCAAAATGCATTCTAAAACTTGTTTTCCTTTCTTGTGTTCAGCCTTGAAACATATTCTGAAACTCTTTGTTTCTACCTTTTCCCACCAGGCACTTCTGTGAACAGTGCTCATTTATCCAATTATGTGCATGCTGAGAAATGTTAAAACAAACCAGACAGAGAGATCTGTTGCAGGCCAAAAGAGTGAGGGTCGTGATCAACTCTGTATACCACTGGAGGTTATATGAGTAAACATTAAACTGTTCTCATAAATGCAGAATATTGGCAAACTGACAAGCTGCGTCTGCCGCCCAGAAGGAATGCTGAGGGCAGTCATGCCCCAAGTGCAGTGTTTCTTGTAATTAGGCACATCTGAAGCCTGTTAGCAATAATGTGACCCTGTGATCAATTAAGCAGCTGACCAACGGTTGCCTCCTGCTCCCTGCTCTTTCTGTCCAATAAATACAAAGGGCTGTAGAGGCTCAAGTGGCTGCTCTTGATCACTAGGAGCTGGGAGCCCTCTTCTTCTTCCAATGGCTCCTTCCTTTAAAATAGTTACTTTTGTTTTAAGTTTTCATTTCTGCGTTCGTCCCCCTTTGTTCAGTCCTGTAGTAACCATGGCAAACTGCTGTAGAGATCCAGCTGCAGAATCCTCCCGCTTAGGGGTAGTTACAGTTAACCCCCCACCACTGGGCCGAAGTCAGGATGATGCCAACTGAACCTCTGGATGGGCAATTACTCAAGATAACCACTGGAAAAAGACACACAGACCTGCATCCCCCTGCCCCACTCCCGCATGTTTCACACATCTTTTCCTTTTTAAACCCCTTCGCTCAGCCTCCAAAGTGGGAGTGGCCTTTTAAAAAGACAGAGGACCATTCTCCAACAGCTAGCATTTGAATAAAGCTGCTTTCCTTTTACCACACCTTGCTTTCTCAGGCTTTGACCTCTGAGCAGTGAGCAGCCAGACTTAAGCCAGTTATAGTATGGCCACAAGAACATCCAACCTGGTGGGACTTTCATTTCTTCACCTGAAAATGAGATCCTTATGCATGTTCTTCCATACTGCAAGTTTGCTGTGAAGCTCAATTTGAAGACAGATTTTTGGGACATTCTCATGAGAGCTGCAACTACTAGGAAGGCAGTTTTTGGGGTGTTCATTTGTTTGTTTTGCTCATGGATACTATAAAAACGGATGGTCAGCTTGAAACAAATGATACAAATACGATTTTATGTTTCCAGGATAAAGGCAAGGGCAGAAGGAAAGTGTAGCCTGTGTGTGAATGGAAAATCCTCCATCACTTCATCCTCCCATATGAAGTAATTTGACAGACAAAATACAAAAGTCTCATTTAATATAAAATAGTTTTTTTGCAAGGGCTATTAAAGTGTCTGCAATTCTGAGTGTTAGTTTCACTCTCCTGACTAAGTTAAATCTTGTGTCATCATGAAGGCTCCCATAAATATGAAGAATTTGGCTAGCAATGGTTAATGCTTATGCTATAATCTGTTCTAGAATGCAATTGATTTCTTAATTAAACCAGGGATAGCCTCCTGGATGAAGATTTATCCAAAGCATGAAATACTGGATTAGAAGACAGATGTTCAGGGACATCTGATAGAGTATTTGCACACTTGGGCATAAGAATTACCAGATCGCTAGGTGTGGTGGCTTATACTCATTATCCCAATACTTTAGAAGGCCAATGTGGGAGAATTGCTTGAGGCCAGGAGTTGGATACCAGCTGTGGCAACGTAGTGAGACCCCATCTCTTTATCTCTATAAAAAATTGAAAAATTAGCCTGGAGTTGTGGTGCATGCTTGTAGTCCCAGCTACTCAGGAGGCTGAGGTGGGAAGATCTCTTGAGCCTAAGAGTTCTAGGCTGCAGTGAGCTATGATCCCACCACTGCATTCCAGCCCAAGGGACAGAGCAAGACTCTATCTCTAAAGGAAAAAATAAAAATACCAAAGCACAAAGCAGAAATCTAAGCAGCCTGGGAAGGCAGAAGTTCTTGACTAGCAATTGAGGCTGGAAGATGAACATCAAAAGGAAGGCATATAGACCCCAAATATGTCTTTAGCTATTTTACTTTTTTAATATAAGGACAATCTTGGGAATGTAACAGAAAGTAATGGACAAATTGAAGAAAAACCTGCCTTAGGCTTCATGGAATTTCTTTAACTCCTTAATCTTTCAAGTACCCTTGAAGCTAAAACATAAACAGACACTATGTCCTATTGCTTCCCCTTAGCAGGTACAACAGTTTCCCCAGGCAGGATTTGGTAGAGTTGTCCTGAAATACTAACAAAGCTATATTCTAAAAGATAAAATGTTTTGAAGTCATTTGAACTGATCAGGAGCGTCTATAATGGATTCGTGAGTATATTTGAAAAGGAGCCAATGGTACTGCAAAATGTATAAATGGTGAGTATACCTTATAAAATGCCAGGACCTAAAGTGGGCTCCATGATGTAGAACATGTTAAAAGGAACTGCTTCCTGAAAGAGCATTAAAAAAAATGCATATCCGTGGGTGGACACCATGCCTACAGTCATGCCTGTTACCACAGTCAACAGTCTTACTTGTAATCACAGTGCTTTGGGAGGATAAGGAGAGAGGATCTCTTGAGACCAGGAGTTTGAGACCTGCCTTGGCCAATATAGTGAGAACCTGTGTCTGAAAAATGAAAAAAAAAATTTTTAAATTAACTGGGCATGGTAGCATGTGCCTGTAGTCCTGGCTATTAGGGAGGCTGAGGTGGGAGGGTCAGTGGAGCCCAGGAACTTGAGGCTGCAGTGAGCTATGATTATGCCACTGCACTCCAGTCTGGGTAACAGACCAAGACCCTGTCTCAAAAAAATAAAATAAAATAAGGCAAACCTGAGACTGAACCCATAATTAATCTATGTAAAAAATATCTCCTTTGTAATTAATCAAAAAAGATCCCTCTCCCCTACACACACACATACAAACACATAGTGAGAAATATAGATACCTATGTAAGTGCTATCATTTTGTAAAAGCAACGAAAAGTCTTACTTTCAGAGACATTCTCTGACAACCTGTTACAAAACTATTCCCTTTAACTCAGCCTGAGGCCAATTCATTTTAAAGATTTCTTCCTGTATAATTAAAGAACCACTGCCACACTCTGGCAAGCGCTACCAAATGTACTTTTCTAAAAACTTCAAACTCCATTTAACTGGCATTTGCCTATGTTTCCTCTCTTGTCATCACTGATTAGCAGGATATTTATATGTAAACAGAAGCTGTCTCAGTTCTAATCAGCCTGCCCATTGCCTCTGCCTCTGATGACTCACTCACGATGCACCAGCACCATGAATGTTTTCTGCAGTGTCCCAGGCTCTACGATGTCCACAGTTGTTGAGCTGACTTATGTGGAGAGGGGGCTGGTAAAGGACAGGTCCTAGACCTAATTTTCCAAGTCAGCCAGCAAGCTATGGCACAGGGTCATGGACTTTACACACATTATGTTTGAAATCACCAATATCTATATAAAAGAGCAATTCTAATCCAGTTTTTAGTGCCAGAACATAGAAGAAGCTCAATAGTATTTAGAAGAAGCTCAATAATAATATAGAAGCTACATATAGTAGCTAGCACATAGAAGCAGCTCAATAATATTTATTAAATAAATATTAAATGAGTTACTTGCAGATATAGCAATTGAAGTTTAGCAAGGCTAACTGATATGGTGTCGGATAATAATATAGATCTGAGCATTTCTATTCTTGCCCAACCTGTATTAGAAACTCTATATTGTGAAAGATTGCAGTTTACAAAGCAAAATGGGTTTGTTAAATACATTAAATTGCCATGTTTTAGATATCAGAGATGTAAAACTGCCAAATAAATCTGAACAAAGTGATCAGCATTACCACTTGGGACTGATACACTTTCAATCAAAATAAGAAATCTGAGATTTAGTTGGCCTGTGCATCATGGCATTGTAACCACCTGACAGGTCCTTCCTGTCCACTGTATAGTCAAAAGCAATTCGGGAGACCATGGCATTGCAGTAAAGAAAGAGCTTAATTGACATGAGGCCAGCCATGCTTTAAAAAGGTGGCTGAGTTTTGGGGAAGGGCTATTATCATTTAAACTATAAACTAAATGTATCCCAAAGTTAGCTTGGCATAATCCTAAGAATAATTAAAGGCAGGTTGAAGGCTAAAGGCAAGAGGGGTGTTGGTTAGATCAGATCTTTCCTACTGCCATAATGGTCTCAATGTTATAATTTTTGCAAAGGAGATTTCAGCCTTAGGATATTTAAAATAAGGAAAAGAGCTTACAAGCCTTACTTGCTACATGTGTCTAGAGAACTTGGATGGGGGCTCAATACCTAAAGAGAATTCCTATCAATCTCTCAGTTATCATTAGGAACAAAGACCTCAATGGATGCCCATCATCAGGGTGAGTTTACAGCGTCATCTGTGTGTATCAGAGAACCCTAGAGTAAAGTGTCAGGATGAGTCAGAAGATCTAAATTTCTAATTTTGATTTGACTGCTAACTACCAAGTAAACAGGCAGATCATTTTGCAGCTCTGATTGTTTATCTTCAGTTTTCTTATATGGCTATGCTGCATACTATATAAAATCATGTCTATAAAATTATTTTTAAGCTATAAAATTCTACATTAAATTAGGTGTTGTAAAATAATACCATTAGTAAAGAACTGGGAAAAATACTACATTATATTTCAAACTTTGTCTATCACACTTGCTAATTTTGTCTGCTAGAAAAATAAGCACTCAAAGGGAGAAGGTCAGTGGCATTGAAACCTTCCTCAATGCAATAAAGTCATCAGCATAAACATTTGATCAACCATGTATAAGTGGTAATGAAAAAATGGATAATGTTGATTGATTTCCAATTTGAAAAAGAACAAAAATATTTGACTGTCATTACATTTGATGGCCTCTGGTGAAAGATACTATAAAATATTGATTATCATTTCCATAAGGAGGCTTAATCCCAGCTCTCGCAGCTGAAGGATAGAGAAGGGGAGAATTTGATTAATAAATATTTCTTGAGGGTCCATCATGTGGGTGACTTCTAGGCAGGATGGGAAAAATGTATACACAGAAAAACATGACACATTGTGTATCCCCCAAATAAGTTGGGAGGAAAAAAAATCTGATTGAGAAAATGCATCACCTTTAATTTTAAATAATTTCTTAGTTTCCCAGATGTGTAGAAAGCATGCCAACGTCCCCTTCCACCTAGGTTCAGTTTCTCATTGAAAAACGCCAATACTGATCCAGGCATGGTGGCTCATGCCTGTAATCCCAACACTTTGGGAGGCCAAGGCAGGAGGATGGCTTGAGGCTGGGAATTCAAGACCAATTTGGCCAACATAATGAGAGCCTGTCTCTATAAAAACAATATTTAAAAATTAGTCAGTTGTGGTGGCATTGATATAGGAGATAGATATTATTTAGGCAGATAGTAAGGGCAACAGAGTCGTTGGCAGAATTTCCCCTTTAACAAAAAGCAGCTCCAAAATCATTTCTTTTCTAACAAAGAGTAACCTGAAAAATTGAGCTGCAGACAGAGAGAAACAAGCTGGAAGTCTGCATGGGTGAAAGCCAGCAGCTATACCAATAGAAACAGGCTACCTGAGGGCCATGTATGTTCAACACGGAGGCTCCATCTTTTCTTTGTCACCATATGTACAATAAAGAAACAGGAAACATGGTGCCAACTAGGCCATGGTGAACCCATCTGCATAATAAAAGATTAAGGTGGGGCCTACCAGAAATTTGCGCCCTATGCAAATGGCACCCCTAGCCCTAACCAGTTTTTCATGCCCTATGCAAATGGCACACCTGGTCCAAGCAGTCTTCCATGCCCTGTGTAAATCAGACACTGCCTCCTCAAGTTCATCTATAAAACCCACTGCATTTTTTTTTTTTTGAGACAGAGTCTCGCTTTGTCACCCTGGCTGGAGTGCAGTGGCGCGATCTCGGCTCACTGCAAGCTCCACTTCCCGGGTTCACGCCATCCTCCTGCCTCAGCCTCCCGAGTAGCTGGAACTACAGGCGCCCGCCACCACGCCCGGCTAATTTTTTTGTATTTTCAGTAGAGACGGGGTTTCACTGTGTTAGCCAGGATGGTCTCGATCTCCTGACCTCATGATCCGCCCACATCGGCCTCCCAAAGTGTTGGGATTACAGGCGTAAGCCACCGCGCCCGGCCAAAACCCACTGCATTTCACAACAGAACTGACAACCAATTTCTCTGGGACCCCTCTCTGTAGCAAGAGAGCTTTTCTCTTTCGCCTTTTAAACTTCCACTCTTAACCTCACTCTCGTGTGTGTGCATCCTAGTTTTCCGTGGCCATGAGAAAACGAATCTTGGGTATTTACCCCAGACAAATGATGCCACTTCAGCATATGCCTATAGTCCCAGCTACTCAGGACGCTAAGGCAGGAGGATTCCTTGAGCCCAGGAGTTTGAAGCTGCAGTGAGCTATGATTGCACCATTGCCTTCTAGCCTGGGTGACAAAGAGCCCTGTCTCAAAAAACAAGCAAAACAAAAGCGAATACTCTCCATTCAGACTGGGATTCACAACAATTACTCCCCACTCCCAGCCCTCTATTCAACTGTATCACACAATCTAGTTGACAATAGCTTCTAACCATTTCTTGAAAGTGGGCATTCTTTTCGTCTACAAAGCCTTAGGTAAGACCTTCATTGTTTATAATAGCCTCTTGGCTATTATATTTTATATTATATTTCATTTTATTTATCTTTATTTTATTATATATTATATTATATTTCATTTATCTTCCATGTAGATTTCTTTTTAAATGACTTGTGATGGAATTAATTTTCTAACATAATTTTTGTCAGGTGAATTTTCTACTCATAGCTATAAATGGTGCCTCATCACCTGAAGGATGAGATAGAAACAATGCTTGTGATGTAAGGCTTTGCCTCGAGTGGTTTTCTGCTGCCGTTCTAGCCAAGTCACTATTCCCTGCCTTGTTTCTTTACTCTGGTAATAACTAACTAAAGGAGGGGCTCCCAGTAACTAGGAGAGAATTTGATAGGCTTTTCCCAAGTGTATTTGCTTATAAATCCACACTGGAACTTAGTCCAACTGAAACATATACAACTTCAAAATACACATAATGTGGATTTTTTAAACTTTTTAAATTTATTTATTAAAATTTCCACAGATGTTTCTGAACACACACACATTATATACATATGCACACACACACATATATATATAGTGTGTGTGTTTCTGTGTGTGTGTATACACACAGTGGATTTGCAAACTTTTGTAATTTTCTTGTACGTTTCCATCCTCATGCTTTTTCTTACTATGTTTTGAATATTGTCACTACTTTTGTCCATACATGATATAGTGAGGTTAATAATGCTCATATGCATTTTTTAAAAGCCTAAGTTCTTCCTCCACTTAAAATGCAAAAAGTTGAAAGTCAGACTTGAGAAAAAGCCAGATAAACTACCAAATCACAACTCTTCTAGAATACATTGAAGACTGAAGCTACAGGGCAACCATGTATTCTGAAATCTAAGAACAACAGAATGCCTAACACAAAAAACATAACAGTGCTTCCATAGATGGTTATTGGTAATGGCCTTTAAAAATGAGGGTTGTGCCCACTTTTTCAGTGAAGACTGTACTTATTTGTTAGCTCATTGCTACCACTTCAACTCTTTGGTTAAAGCAATGTATACCTATGTTAAAATAGAAATAGTTGGCCACGTGTGGTAGCTCATGCCTGTAATCTCAGCATTTTGGGAGTCTGAGATGGGCGGATCACTTGAGGTCAGGAGTTCAAGACCAGCCTGGCCAACACAGTGAAACCCCGTCTCTACTGAAAAAAAAGAAAAAAAAAATAGCTGTGCATAGTGCTACGAGCCTCTAATCCCAGCTACCTGGGAGGCTGAGGCAGAAGAATCTCTTGAACCTGGGAGGCAAAGGTTGCAGTGAGCTGAGATCATGCCACTGCACTCCAGATTGGGAGACAGAGTGAGACTCCATTTCAAAAAAAAAAAAAAAGAAAGAAAGAAATGGTTAATTCAATGCATTCAAGAACAAAACAATTAATGCAAAGAAGGAAGCAATAGGGACCAGAGAACTGTGGAGCTCCAGTAAATTTATGTCCTTTCTGAAGGCTTTTGTTGCTGTGTACCATGTAGGAATGCAAGCCAAGTATTGCCCATTCTCTCAAGACCAGCTCAAAATTCCTTATTGTTGTGTAAAATCTTCCAATTTCAAAATATAACAACTACTTACCTCTTTTTTAAGCCCTATGTGGGATAAAACTCATCTCTCTTTCACAGATTGCTTCTCTTACTTCTAACAAGGATTAAACCAGGGATGACAATTAAGAGTGTAGTTGTACATTGCACAATACATTTTCTCCCATAAAGATGTGTATATCTGGCTGGGCGCGGTGGCTCAAACCTGTAATCCCAGCACTTTGGGAGGCTGAGGCGGGGGGATCACAAGGTCAGGAGTTCAAGACCAGCCTGGCCAATATAGTGAATTATAGAGATGGGGTCTCTACTAAAAATACAAAAATTAGCTGGGAGTGCTGGCGGGCACCTGTAGTCCCAGCCACTCAGAGGCTGAGGCAGAAGAATCGCTTGAACCCAGGAGGCGGAGGTTGCAGTGAGCCAACATCACCCCACTGCATTCTAGCCTGGGTGACAGAGCAAGACTCCATCTCAAAAAAAAAAAAAAAAAAGTGTAAATCTAATATGTATAATCAAATCAAGTTCTAAGTGCATCAGGGGTATTTGTGATTTAAAGAAACCCCATAATAAGTTATTTTGTCTTATAGAAAACTGTTCCCAAATTTGGTTTGATACATTGTAGAAACAGTAGAAAATGATTATAGGAATAGAAAAAACAAGAGCAATGGAATCATACATACTTGCCTTCATATACCAGTTCTACCATGCATGAATTGTGTAGACATGGCCTTCTATATATTTCTCTGCTTCTACCTTATTTATTTTTGTGAAAATTAAATCAAATAATATTTGATGTCATTTTCATAAAAATTAAATAATATATATGAGGATTTAGCGCTGACCTTTTTTTTTCTTGCTCAAATTCCTTTCTAAGGAACCTGAGGAGTTATGCCTTGCAAACCATAAAATGTCCTTAAACAGGTCTTTCCTGACCCAGTACATTGTGGCTTACTTTCCAACCTGACTCTGGTATGGCATTACATGACAGGTAACAGACCCCCTTATCTTAACTTAAACATTCCTTTCTACTTTAGACAAAGCTTAACTCTTTCAACTAATTGCCAACTGAAGAATCCCTAAACTCTGTCTATGACTTGTAAGCCTCCACTTCAAAATGTCCTGACTTTTTGGGTCAAACCAATGTATACTTTCTATGTATTGATTTATGATTTTACCTGTAATTTCTGTCACCTTGAAATGTATAAAACCAAACTCTTACCAGAACACGCTGGGCACACCTTCTCAGGACCTCTTGAGACTGTTTCCCTGGGGCTATGGGCACTTACATTTGCTAAGAATAAATCTCTTTTAATGTTTTGACAGAATTTGGTTTTTCTCTCATCATATGTGAGGCATTTAGCAAAAACGTTTAATTAAAAGTAGATATTACTTTTATAAAGTAGGGCCAATCTGTGGTTTCAACAAGGAATATTTCACATAAACATTAATAAGTTTCAATTATAGGGAGATTTGAGCATGAGAGACAAGACAACTCTTAGGTGTATGGCTACCATTCTTAGGTACCTAAAAATGTATGAAGCTGACAATTTATTCCCATTTAAGTCTGGTCCTTAAGCTTGATGATCTTGAGGCCATGGGAAGATTGTCAGAGTTTAGTCAGACATAACAAATATTCTTGATCTAAAGGTTATTAAATACCACAATGGCTCAGTGCTGTCTCAAGAGACATTTAAAATGAGATAGGCGATTTTTTCATGTAGGGATTAGGTGCCAACTGACCAGGATCAGGACAAAGACAGGCTAGTTTCACTCCTGTGAATTCTTCCTTCTGATTGACTGACTGCTCTATGATTTGGGCAAAAATACCTGGCACTTTTGTGACTTCACCTTGCTTCTCAGCAGCAAATAGGGAATAATAATGTCCTCCCACTTCTAAATTCTAACCTCATAGGAATTAGGAAAGGGAGGACAAGACTTGAAATGACTTCATGAGAAGCCCCAGAGCACTCTGGAGATGGGTACCTTGGCAACACTGCACCATGCCACCTAAGTTTAATGTTAGCATTGACTTACAGAATTCTGACTACTGTTATTTAAAACTTGGCCTGTGGCACTAAAACAACCACTCAGTCACATGTAAAACTTCTTTTCTTAACTTTTAAAGATACCAGAGCCAAGATTTTTTTCTTTTTAATTTACACCTTTATAGATTGTCTTGACTGTGTTTACCTAGCAGTGTGTGTACATTTAGGGTCATAAAATACATTCACAGTTTTGTAAAATGCCCTTATAAGATAGATTAGATTCTTCTGAATAAATATAACTAAAGTCAGCTGATAAAAGGAAAAGAACACCTTAGTATTTCTAAAATAAGAACTAAACATCAGACTTTTGTTTACTTATAGGATGGGAAAAAATTCACAAAAGAATGTACTACAAGCCAGACAAGCTACAAAAATCATAGATTATTGAAACCTGTAAGAAAGAAAAGCTGGGGTGCAGGACAGTGGGTAGAAAGTCTCCTAGATGCAAAAAGCCAAGGGCAGGATTTGAAAGCAATGAGAATTCCCCAGCAAGTCAAAACGTTTGCAACTAGGCTCTAAAACAAGTGATCTCCCATAATAAAGTGCTAAAAAAATTCTAACACAAAATTCTATATCCAGTGAAAATATCTTTTAAAAATAAAAACATATTCAAATAACAATCACTGACAGATTTGTCTCTAGTAGGCCTGTAATACAAGAAAGGCTCATATCCTTGCTAAAGGGAAGGTCCTATTTTCACTCTTAAAATGTTGAAGCATTGGTCGATTGAGTCTAAGACTCACAAACTAACTTTCTTTCTTTCTTTCCTTCTTTCTTTCTTTCTTTCTTTCTCTCTTTCTTTCTTTCTTTCTTTCTTTCTTTCTCTCTCTCTCTCTCTCCTTCCTTCCTTCCTTCTTTTCCTTCTTCCTCTCTCCCTCCCTTCCTTTTTTCTTTAGACAGAGTCTCACTCTTGTCGCCCAGCTTGGAGTGCAATGGTGCAATCTCAGAGTCACTGCAACCTCCACCTCCTGGGTTCAAATGATTCTCCTGCCTCAGTCTCCCAAGTAGCTGGGACTGCAGGAGTCTGCCACCACACCTGGCTAATTTTTGTATTTTTAATAGAGACGGGGTTTCACCATGTTGGTCAGGCTGGTCTCAAACTCCTGACCTCAGGTGATCCACCCACCTCAGCCTCGCAAAGTGCTGAGATTACAGGTGTGAGCCACTGCACATGGCCCAAACTTAAATTCAGCTCTGCTATTAGTTATATTGACACCAGTGGACTGACAGAAGAAATAAGTTGACCTTTTTTTAAAAAGTAATACTACTTAATTCAGTTATAGATAGATATAGATAGCTCTCTTACCAAAAAAATTGTGATATAATAAAAAATTAAAAGTTAAGTGAATTAATGAGAAAATGCTTCCCATAGCTAAAATAAAATATGATTAATAGATGCAGACTCAGAATAGACTCAAATATTGGAATTATCTGATGGGAATTTGTAACTACAATGATACACTCTTTAAATGAGTTTTGGGAAAGGTAGAAAACGTGTGAATGAGTAGAAAATGCCATGAAAAAATGTAAACTATTAAAAAGAAGCAAATAAAAATGCTGTAAATGAAAACCAAAATGACAATGTCTCCTCATGTGCTTAAACTACACTGAACACAGCAGAGGAAAGAATTAACTTAAGGAAAGGTCAGTAGAAATTAAATAAACTAATACATAAAAAGAAAAAGAATGAAACAAAATAGAGCATCCAAAATCAGTGGGATGATATTAAATGGTCTAATTTATGTATATTTGGTGCATCAGAAAGAGAAAAAAGAAAAAATGGAGCAATAAAAATGTTTAAAAAGACAATAGTTGACAATTTCTCACAGTATTGAAAGGAACAAATCCACAAATTAAGATAAGTGAATGAAATAGAACAAGTACAAAGTAAAAAACACTTTGGCACATCACAGTCAAACTGCAGAAAACCAAAGATAAAAAGAAACTTGAAAAAAGGCAGTAAGACAGAAAGGACATATAACACAGAGGGAACAAAGATAGTTGTGATTCTTATTTCCTTTACAGATGTAGTAAAGAACAGAAGAAAAATAAATGACATCTCTAAAGTGCTAAAAAAAATTCTAACCTCAAACTCTATATCCAGTGAAAATATCTTTTAAAAATGAAAACATATTCAAATGACAATCACTGACAGATTTGTCTCTAGTAGACCTGTACTACAAGAAATGCTAAAATAAGATCTCTAGGCCCAAGAAAGTAATAACAGAATGGAAGTCTGAATCTGTGGAAAGTAGTGAAGAGAACCAGTAAATATAAGGCATATTCTTATTCTCTCCATCCTTATCACTATCTGTCTCTCTATCTATAGATACTTATACATAAAGAAGAGAAGTATCTATGTACAGATAGATGTCTTAGATAAATAGATACATACATATATACATACATACATAGGTTGGTCAAAAGTAATTGCGGTTTTGCCATTAAAAGTAATGGTAAAACCGCAATTACTTTTGCACCAACCTAATAGATACTTATATTTATATTCTCAAATTTCTTTAAAAAGCCAATGACTGTTTAAAGTAAAAATAATAACATGTCATATTGTTTGCATATATGCAGAAATTACATATAAGGCAAAAGATGTGTAAATGGCTGAGAAGTTTATGCTACAGAAGAGATAAAATGGAATAATGAATAAATCCATGAAAATGGATAACTAAAACAAATAAAATGGAATTTGTTTCACTAAAAAAGCGAAAGGAAAGGTGTCATTGACCAAGAACAGATGGGACAAATTTAAAACAAATATGAAGATGGTAGACAACTTAACTGTTTCAAAAACTACCTTAATATTAAGGTCATAGTAGCTCCAATTAAAAGTCAGAGATTGACAGACTGAACCAAAAAAGTAATACCCAATTTTATGCTATCTATGGTAAGCACACTTTATGAAGACACAGACAGATAGAAAACAATAGAGTGAAAAAATATGTACAATGAGTGTACTAAGCTTAACAACTCAAGACGGAAAATACTAACAGAGATAAACAGAGGCATTCCATAATGATAAAAGGGAATATTCATCAAGAAGACATAGAAATCATAATTACTATGCATGTTTTTTAAATAAAAAGCAAAACTGATGAAGGTAAAGAGAAAGAAAGGCAAAGTCATAATTTTACAAAGAGATCTTAATATGGCTCTTTCTGTAACTGATAAAACAAGTAGAGGCCAGGCGTGGTGGCTCACGCCTGTAATCCTAGCACTTTGGGAGGCTGAGGCTGGCAGATTGCTTGAGCCCGGGAGCTCAAGACTAGTCTGGACAACATGGTGAAACCCTTCTCTACAGAAAAAAATACAAAACAGCCAGACATGGTGGTGCATGCCTGTAGTCCCAGTTACTTCAGAGGTTGAAGTGGGAGGATAGTTTGAGCCCAAGAGGTTGAGGTTTCAGCGAGCCATGATTGCACCACTATACTCCAGCCTGGGCAATAGAGTAAGACCTTGACTCAAAAACAAACAAAAAGGACAAATAGACACACAAAAATATAAGTAAAACTATAGAGATTTGAACAATGCCAATTAGATCTAATTGATATTTATAGAAGTACACACCCATTGACTTCAGAATAATCATTGTTTCTAGTGGCTGTGGAACCATAACAAAGCATACGGCATTAAAAAAAAAAACTAGATGTAAAAAAGTCTCAATATTTTTCAAAGAATAATTATTATACAGAGAATGTTCTCAGGCGACAATAAAATTAAATTTGAAATCAATACCATAAAGTATGTATAAAATTTCCAAATACTTCAAATACTTGGAAATACTTCTAATACTTCTAATCCATGAATAAATACTTCTAATCCATGAATCAAAAGTCACAACAAAAATTATGATACGTTTTGAATGGAATAAAAATGAAAGCACAACATATCAAAATTTGTAGAAAATCGCTAAAGTAGCCCTTAGAAGAAAATTTATACCTTTAACTGTATATTTTGGAAAAGAAGAAAGGTACAAAATCATTGAAATATTAACCTCTACCAGATATATGGTTTGTAAATATTTTCTCCCATTTTGAAGGTTGTGTCTTCACTCTGTTGATTGCTCAATTTGTTGGACAGGAGCTTTTAAATTTGATACAATCCTATTTGTCTAATTTTGCTTTTGTTGCCTGTGCTTTTGGAATGATATCCAAAAAAATCTCTGCCCAGACCAATGTCATGGAGCCTTTCCCCTATGTTTTCTCTTTTATTCCAACCACTCCTCCTCCTCAAAAAGAGAGAAATAAACAGCAAATTAAAAGCATAGTAGAAATGAAAATAATGTGAGTGGAAGTCATTGAAATAAAACATACAGACAATAGAGAAAATCAACAAAGTAAAAAATCGATTCTTTGAACAGATGAATAATATTAACAAACCCTAACATCACTGATCAATAAAAAAGAGAGAAAACAAAAAGTAAACATATTGGGAATGAAAGAAGGTATGTCACACAATGTACCATAGTTGTGAAACACATGAAGATATTATAAACAATTTCATGTGAATAAATTTGACAACTTAAATAAAATGAACAAGTATCTTAGAAAACTTAACAAACCAAATTTAAAACAAAATAAAATAAAAATCTTAACACTATATCAATTAAAGAAATTAACATTTTAATAAAGAAAATAGTAAATGTCTTCACTGGTTGAATTTCAGCAAATATTTAAGTAAAAAATAATACTAATACAAATTCATATAAGTGATATCGAAGATATAGTTCCTGATTAATTTGATAAACCATGTATAATTCTAATACCACTAAAAGAAAAACATTGCAGATCAATATTCCTCATTGAATGAGAAAAAAATAAAATCCAGCAATTAATGAAAAGCTAATACATTGTGATGAATGCAATTTATCCCAGGAATGCTTATTTGGTTTAATATTTGAAAATTAATCAGTGTAAATCACCACACTAAAAGAATAAAGAAGAGTGTGATTTTCAGAAATGATGCAGAAAAAAGTACATTTTTTGACTAAATTTGACTAAATTCAATTAGCATTCATGACAAAAACTCTCAGCCAACTAAAAATAGAAGAAAATATTTTTAAACTTAAAAGGTGTACATCAGAGAAACCCATGGTTAATATCATAATCAATGGTGAAACAATCAACAATCTTTCTTTAAGATTGAGAACATGATAAGGATGTCCACTCTACTTCTGTTTAACATTCATTGTACTGCAGGTCTTAGCCAGTGCAATAAGACAAGTTAAGAAATAAATGTCATAAAGATTGAAAATAAAGTGAAATTATCTTTATTCTTATATAAAATTATTTTGTACATGCAAAACATTGTGGAATTTAATTACAAAAACATCTCCTGGCACTGATTAGAAAATTGAGCAAGTAAATAGGATATAAAAGAAATGTTAAATAAAATTGTATTTCTGTGTAATGGCAACACAATTAGAAGTGAAGCTTAGAAAATAATACAGTTGGTAATGTAATCAAAGAACATTAAACATCTTAAAATAAATACAGTAAAATGTCTATGATATCTACACTGGACACTGTAAAACCTTGCTACAAGAGAAAAAAGTCCTATATAAGTAAAAAATTTATTATTTTGTATATTAGAAGACTCAATATGTTAAGATATTAGTTCTCCTCAAAATAATATTCAGGTTCAGTGCAATTCTAATCAAAATTCTAGATTAACCAGTATAAATTTGAAAAATAATAGAGGTGGAGGATTTTTACTACCCAATTCCACAACCAACTATAAAGCAAAAGTAATCAAAATAGTATGGAATTAGCATAATTTCATTATTTTGTCTACTTACATTACACATCACAATCAAAGGAAGACAGTAGAGAGTTTAGATAGGCCCACTTATATTATCAGTTGATTCCAACAAAAGTACGAGATCAGTTCAGTGAGAACAAGATCTTTTGTTCAACAAATATGTAGTTCTAGAACACTGGGATATTCATACATAAAACAAAGGACTTAAAAATTATTTTACTCATAAAGTTAATTTTCAATGGACCAGAGACCTACACATAAAAGCTAGAACCACAAACTTTCTAGAAGAAAACAAAGGAGAATACCTTTGTGACCTTATGCTGGAGAAATATTCTTTTGATAAATCACAAAATACTAACACAAAAGAAAATAATAATAAGTTGGACTTCTCCAAAATTAAGAATTTCTGCTCACCAAAAGACACTCTTGAGAAAATGAATCAGACAGCTGCAGAGTGGAAGAAATTACTGGCAATACACGTACCTGGCAAATGACTTGTATCCAGAATATGTAAATAACTCCTACAAATTAACAATGAAAAGACACATAACTCAATTTAAAATGCGCAACAATCTTAGTCACTTCAATAAAGAAATAGAGGAATATTTCTTATATTTCTGAAACAATGATAAACACATAGTTTATCATTAATAAACAGATGAGAACATGAACAAATGCTCAACAT